>NW_017363817.1:0-281919 GCF_000001405.40 Homo sapiens
ACATTCAGAGGCTTCTCGACATTCCCTTTAGAAGGGAAGGTTTATGTGCAAAGGAGGCGGAATGGCCTAGAATCACGAGGATGGTGTCCCAAAAGCCGGGCAGATACAACATTTCAAGAAGGAAAGAGTGGTCAGGAGTGTCAAATGTTGCTGGCAGGTCAGGGACAACAAGGACAAAGGTTGTCCACTGGATTCGATGACTCGGAAGGACACTGGTGACGCTCGATGGCTCGGAAGGACACTGGTGACGCTCGATGACTCGGAAGGACACTGGTGACGCTCGATGGCTCGGAAGGACACTGGTGACGCTCGATGGCTCGGAAGGACACTGGTGACGCTCGATGGCTCGGAAGGACACTGGTGACGCTCGATGGCTCGGAAGGACAGTGGTGACGCTCGATGGCTCGGAAGGACACTGGTGACGCTCGATGGCTCGGAAGGACACTGGTGACGCTCGATGGCTCGGAAGGACAGTGGTGACGCTCGATGGCTCGGAAGGACAGTGGTGACGCTCGATGGCTCGGAAGGACAGTGGTGACGCTCGATGGCTCGGAAGGACAGTGGTGACGCTCGATGGCTCGGAAGGACACTGGTGACGCTCGATGGCTCGGAAGGACACTGGTGACGCTCGATGGCTCGGAAGGACACTGGTGACGCTCGATGGCTCGGAAGGACAGTGGTGACGCTCGATGGCTCGGAAGGACAGTGGTGACGCTCGATGGCTCGGAAGGACAGTGGTGACGCTCGATGGCTCGGAAGGACACTGGTGACGCTCGATGGCTCGGAAGGACAGTGGTGACGCTCGATGGCTCGGAAGGACAGTGGTGACGCTCGATGGCTCGGAAGGACAGTGGTGACGCTCGATGGCTCGGAAGGACACTGGTGACGCTCGATGGCTCGGAAGGACAGTGGTGACGCTCGATGGCTCGGAAGGACAGTGGTGACGCTCGATGGCTCGGAAGGACAGTGGTGACGCTCGATGGCTCGGAAGGACACTGGTGACGCTCGATGGCTCGGAAGGACAGTGGTGACGCTCGATGGCTCGGAAGGACAGTGGTGACGCTCGATGGCTCGGAAGGACAGTGGTGACGCTCGATGGCTCGGAAGGACACTGGTGACGCTCGATGGCTCGGAAGGACAGTGGTGACGCTCGATGGCTCGGAAGGACAGTGGTGACGCTCGATGGCTCGGAAGGACAGTGGTGACGCTCGATGGCTCGGAAGGACAGTGGTGACGCTCGATGGCTCGGAAGGACAGTGGTGACGCTCGATGGCTCGGAAGGACAGTGGTGACGCTCGATGGCTCGGAAGGACAGTGGTGACGCTCGATGGCTCGGAAGGACACTGGTGACGCTCGATGGCTCGGAAGGACAGTGGTGACGCTCGATGGCTCGGAAGGACAGTGGTGACGCTCGATGGCTCGGAAGGACAGTGGTGACGCTCGATGGCTCGGAAGGACACTGGTGACGCTCGATGGCTCGGAAGGACACTGGTGACGCTCGATGGCTCGGAAGGACACTGGTGACGCTCGATGGCTCGGAAGGACAGTGGTGACGCTCGATGGCTCGGAAGGACAGTGGTGACGCTCGATGGCTCGGAAGGACACTGGTGACGCTCGATGGCTCGGAAGGACAGTGGTGACGCTCGATGGCTCGGAAGGACAGTGGTGACGCTCGATGGCTCGGAAGGACAGTGGTGACGCTCGATGGCTCGGAAGGACAGTGGTGACGCTCGATGACTCGGAAGGACACTGGTGACGCTCGATGGCTCGGAAGGACACTGGTGACGCTCGATGGCTCGGAAGGACAGTGGTGACGCTCGATGACTTGGAAGGACAGTGGTGACGTTCGATGGCTTGGAAGGACAGTGGTGACGTTCGATGGCTTGGAAGGACAGTGGTGACGTTGTAAAGCGGCTTTGATGGCACGATGGTGCCAGAACTACAACTGTAGTGGGCTGAGAAGGGATGGGTCAGTGAGGAGACAGAGACTGCAAAGGAGACCAAATGGAATGATGCACAATTAAAATACCTGTAAACATTTAGATTAGCTTTCCTTGCATGGCCTTTTTATGATTATTTATGAAACGCATTCATAAAATGCATCCCTTTGCTTGAGGTGACTTTTCTCTTTCATAGCTCACTGGCTGGCTCAACATAACCTCGACACAACCTTCACTAAAATCAGAAGAGAAATGATCAAACTGTCTCCTGCCAAGTAAGCATTGAGGCAAGAAGGACCAGCTGAGAGGGAAGACGGGCAGGAGGGCAGCCAGCCTTTCCAAGCACCTGTCTGCAAGTACCAGGGTGAGCATGAAAGGGCATCTGAAATGCAAACCCCAGAGAGACCGATGGTAGCTGATCATTTCCACGAAGGCCTTCTGCCATTTGTATTTCACTTAGCTTCTAAGGACAAAAGCAGACAGGCAAGAGGCAGATACCGCACACTCTGCATGCCGAGCTGTGCTGGACACATCAGGGAGCTTGCCAGGGGATGGGAAGACCGAGGACACACGTCCTACTAACAGAAGGGCCCCTTATAGAGCAATGCGTCCGCACACACCAATGACTGTCATTTACTCAGTACTGACAGATTTATAGATTTGATGCAATCCCCATCAAAATCTCAAAGGGGATTTTAAGAAGTAAACCAGAAGATTTGAAAATGTATATGGAAAAGCAACGGCTCTAGAATCGTCCAAACAATCTTCAAAAATAACACAGTTGGAAGACTTACACTACGTGACATCAAGATTTACCATGGGCCGGGCACGGCGGCTCACGCCTGTAACCCCAGCATTTTGGAAGGCAAAGGCGGGAGGACAACGTGAGCTCAGGAGTTTGAGACCAGCCTGGGGAACATACTGATAATCCATCTCTATTTTTTATTTGTATTTTTTTAAAAAAAAGATTTACCATAAAGATACAAGATGATAAGTCAAGATGATGTGGTATTGATCAAAGGATAGACAGAACAACAGAACAAAACAGAGTCCAGAAATAGATTGACAAACACATAGTTAACTCATTTTCTACAAAAATACCAAGTCAGGCTGGGTATGGTGGCTCATGCCTGTAATCCCAATGCTTTGGGAGGCCAAGGTAGGAGGATCACTTGAGCCCAGAGATTTGAGACCCGCTTGGGCAAAACAGTGAGACCCTGTCTCAAAAAAAGAAAAGAAAAGAAAAGAAAATCAGAAATGACCAGCTGTGGTGACTCACGCCTGTAATCCCAGCACTTTGGGAGGCTGAGGCAGGTGGATCACTTGAGGTCAGGAGTTTGAGACCAGCCTGGCCAAAATGGTGAAGCCCCATCTCTACTAAAAATACAAAAAAAAAAAAAATTAGCCAGGTATGGTGGCACGCACCTGTAGTGCCAGCTACTCAGGAGGCTGAGGCAGAAGAACCACTTGAACCTGGGAAGTGGAGGTTGCAGTGAGCCGAGATCGTACCACTGCACTCCAGCCTGGGCCACAGAGTGAAACTCCATCCCAAAAAAATTTTTAAAAATCGTAATGAAAAGTACCAAGTCAAGTCAATGGGAAAAGGAATGTCTTTTCAATGGAAGTTCCTGGAAAAACTGGAAATCGATTTGGGAAAAAATAAATGTGACTCCTATATGTGACTTTATTCACAAAATCAATTTGAGGTAGGCCAGGTGCGGTGGCTCACACCTATAATCCCAGCACTCTGGGAGGCCGAGGCGGGCGGATCACTTGAGGTCAGGAGTTCAAGCCCAGCCTGGCCAACGTGGTAAAACCCTGCCTCTACTAAAAATACAAAATTAGCCTGGCATGTTTGTGCATGCCTGTAATCCCAGCTACTTGGGGGCTGAGGCAGGAGAATTGCTTAAATCCGGGAGGCAGAGGTTGCAGTGAGCTGAGATCACGCCACTGCACTCCAGCCTGGGCGACAAGAGCGAAACTCCATCTCAAAAAATAATAATAAATTTGAAGTAGATCATGAACCTAACCTAAAACCAGAACTATAAAGCTTCTAGAAGATAGCATAGCACACTGTCTTTGCAATATGGGGCAGGCAAAGCATCCTTGGACACAATACAAAAAGAAAAAACTGATCAAATGAATTGAAAATTGAAAAAAATTATTTATCAGAATTTCAAATTTCTGCTTATCCAAAGACACCACATTCAGAAAATGGATAAGTTACAGACCTGGAAAAAAAATCTTTGCAGTCATAAAGCTGACAAAACACTTATATTCAAGTTGTGCAAAGACATCAACAACAAACAACAAATCAACAATAAACAACCACATTACAGAATGGCCAAAAGACTTCAAAAGACACTTAAAGATATACAAATGACAGGCCGGGCGCAGTGGCTCACACCTGTAAACTCAGCACTTTGGGAGGCCGAGGCGGGTGGATCACCTGAGGTCAGGAATTTGAGAGCAGCCTGGCCAATATGGTGAAACCCCGTCTCTACTAAAAATACAAAAATTAGCCAGGTGTGGTGGTGCATGCCTGTAATCCCAACTACTCAGGAGGCTGAGGGAGGAGAATTGCTTGAACCCAGAAGGCAGAGGCTGCATCGAGTGGAGATTGTGCCACTGCATGGAAGCCCAGACCACACAGCAAGACTCCATCTCAAAAAAAAAAAATATATATATATATATACATATATATATATATATACACAAATGACCAGAAAGCACTTTCAAGAGTTCTTGACTTCGTTAATCACCAAGGGAATTCAATTCAAAACCACAGAGAAATACAACTTCTTACCCACTAGAGTGGCTAAAATCAAAGGCTGATTTTTCAATGGGTAATGGGGACTACTAGAGGGAGGAGGGGCTGGAAGATGTGGACTGAGAAACTACTGTTGGGTGTTGTACTCACCACCTGGGTGACGGGATCACCCATACCCCAAACCTCAATGTACTCATGTACATTGTACTCATGAGTCATGTACCATCACTCAGTGTACTCATGTAACAAACTTGCACATGTACCCCCCGAATCTAAAATAAAAGTTGAAATTAAATAAAAGATAAAATACCATTCCATATCTTTTTAAAAAGACACATTTGGTTATCTACTGTTGCATAACACATCACTCCAAACCTTCGTAACTTAAATAACTACAACCATTGTATTTTCTCTCACAGCTTCTTTGGGTCAGGAATTCAGGAAAGGCTTGTCTGCTTGGGGCTGGCCTGGGGTCTCTCCTGCTGCTGCTGCAGGACGATAGCTGGATGGGAAAAGTGGGGGCTGGAGGAGCTGAGGCATCTTTCTCTCCATACATCTTAGAGGCTCTCCACGTGGACTAGGTGGGGATTTATCAAGGTGTGACAGCCTTGGGGTCCTCAGACTTCTCAATGGGAGGCTCAGGACTCTACAGCAAGCACGTCATGGGCTAAGAAGATGGATGGATGCTGCATTCCCTTTAGGACCTAGCCTGAGAAGTCACACAGAGGCACTTCTGCCACATACTATTGGTTACAAGCGAGTCAACAAACCCCTTAAATTGAAGGAGAGCGGAATGAGACTCTGCGTCTTGCCATGGGAATGGCAAGATTCTTGAAGAGTATGTGGGACAAGAGATATTACTGCAGCCAGTTTTATTTTATCATTTTATTTTATTTTGAGATGGAGTCTTGCTCTGTCACCCAGGCTGGAGCACAGCAGTTTTATTTTATTTTATCATTTTATTTTATTTTGAGATGGAGCCTTGCCCTGTCACCCAGGCTGGAGTGCAGTGATGCAATTTCAGCTCACTGCAACCTCTACCTCCTGGGTTCAAGTGATTCTCCTGCCTCAGCCTCTCAAATAGCTGGGATTACATGCACCCACCACCATGCCCAGCTAATTTTTGTATTTTTAGTAGAGACGGGGTTTCTCCATGTTGGCCAGGCTGGTCTCAAACTCCTGACCTCAAGTGATCCACCCACCTCGGCCTCCCAAAGTGCTGGGATTACAGGCGTGAGCCACCATGCCCAGCCTCTGCAGCCATTTTCAGATAATACAATCTGTGGAGGGTAAACCTAGAAAGAAAAGCAGGTGATGCATCATACCAGGCCTTGTAAGCCACACTTTGTTATTTTTTTTTTTAAGACACAGAGGCCGGGCGTGGTGGCTCAAGCCTGTAGTCCCAGCACTTTGGGAGGCCGAGGTAGGCGGATCACAAGGTCAGGTGTTCGAGACCAGCCTGGCCAATATGGTGACACCCCGTCTCTACTAAAAATACAAAAAATAAAAAATAAAAAATCAGCCAGGCGTGGTGGCACGCACCTGTAGTCCTAGCTACTAGGGAGGCTGAGGCAGAAGAATCACTTGAACCTGAGAGGCAGAGGTTGCAGTGAGTCACGTTCACGCCACTGCATTCCAGCCTGGGCAACAGAGGAAGGCTCTGTCTCCCAAAAAAAAAAAAAGAGAGAGAAAGTCTTGCTTTGTTACCCAGGCTGGACAGCAGTGGTGCGATCTCGGCTCACTGCAGGCTCAAGTTCCTCCACAAGTGCCCCTCAGCGCAGCTGGTTAATTTTTTGTAGAGATGGGGTCTCACTACGTTGCCCAGAATGGGCTCAAGCGATCCACCCACCTTGACCTCCCAAAGTGTTGGGACTACGGGTGTCAGCCCTGCACAGAGCCCCACAAGAGTTTAGATCTTGATGTAAATTGTGATGAGGAAGCAATGGAGGACTTTTTGGCTTTTTATGTTTTGTTTTTCATCACTGGAGACTTTTAGCAAGAGAGTGAACGGTTTGGTTGTTTTTAAAAGTTTGTTCTAGCAGCTGTGCGGAAAAAGAGTTCGTGGGGAAGGTTTGAAAGCAGAGACCATTCAGGAGAGGACCCAGAAGTCCCAGTGCCAGACACGGCAGTCGGCCCCAGCCTGGGTAAGGGACAAGGGAGAGGGTAGGGGACACGGAAGCCCACCAGGTTTCCAGCCAGTCCAGCGGTTTTGTTCACTAAAGTGGAAAACCATGAAGAAGTAAGTTTGTTTTGGACACATTGGCTTTGAGAGTCCAGGGTAGATGTACGAGGCTGAAACTCAGGCAATAAAAATTGAGGGGAGAATACACAGCATTTAAAAAGGTACAGGAGGCCGAGCACGGAGGCTCATGCCTGTGATCCCAGCGATCTAGGAGGCCGAGGCGGGAAGATCGATGGAGCCCAGGAGTTCGAGACCAGCCTGAAACCAAAAATCAAAACTCTTAGCCAGGCGTGGGGATGGGAGGCCAAGGCAGGAGGATCGAGGCACGGGACTGGACGAGATGAGTGTCAGCCCAGGGATTTAAAATCTCTCTGCCCACCCTCCCCTTCCTGCGGTCAACTGTCCAGATTCCAACAGACAAAAGCAAGCATGGGCGAACCACCGTGCGCCGCGGTCCCCGACAGAAGCACGCATGCGCACACCTCTGTGTGCGGAGGTTTCCGACAGACGCACGCATGCGCACACTTCTATGCGCGGAGGTCTCCGCAGACAGAAGCACGCATGCGCACATCGCTGTGCCGGTATCGCCAACAGATGGAAGCACGCATGCGCGCACCGCTGCGTACCTAGCACTCCGACAGATGTACGCATGCGCACAACGCTCTGTTCTCGAGATCCCCGACAGAAGCACACATGCGCACACCGCTGTGTGCCAAGGTCGCCAAAAGACGGAAGCACGCATGCGCACACCGCGGTCCGTGGGGCACCGGGCGGAAGCGTCCTGACTGCGCAGGCGCAGCAGGGGTGGTCGCCATGGAGACGCGTGGCCCTGGCCTGGCGGTCCGCGCTGAGAGTCGCCGATTAGTCGGCATCGGGCCTCGGGCGCCCCCGGGGCGGGTTGGGTTGCAGCCCAGCGGGCGGCTGGACCGCCGCGGTGGGGCGGGGACAATGGGGTACAAGGACAACGACGGCGAGGAGGAGGAGCGGGAGGGCGGCGCCGCGGGCCCGCGGGGGTCTAGACTGCCCCCCATCACAGGCGGCGCCTCCGAGCTGGCCAAACGGAAGGTGAAGAAGAAAAAAAGGAAGAAGAAGACCAAGGGGTCTGGCAAGGGGGACGGTAAGAGGAGCAGCTAGCCCGGCTGCGTCAGCTCCGGTTCCCTGGAGACTCTTTGGGGACCCACCCCCCATTTACCCTTCAGACCGGAAACAGAAGCTCAGTGGTCCCGGACCGAGGTCCTCCTGCTCCCCACACATGCCCGTCAGCAGCACGTTGATGCCCCAGCCCCACCCGTGGAGACCATCCACCAACTCTGCGGTCCCTTAGCCCCACACAGAGACCCCTACAGATATCCACCATTCCTAAGAGCCTTCCAGCCCCACACAAAGACACCCTCTCAACTTCCTAATCCCTCAGCCAAAACTGGCAGTCTTAAACGTCTGCGCCTTCCCCACAGAGGCCCTCCTCACAAGACACTTTCCCCACCCCAAACACATTGATGCCACATGAAAGGCCCTCACTCTCATGCACAGAGAAGGGCAGACTCCTGCCTCCCCTCCTCCCACCCTCTTGCGTTAAGGCTGCCTGCCTGTGGATGCGCGGTAGACACCCACACCCACAGACGTGTGTATTAAAGGTCCTCGCTGCATGGGCTCCCCCTCGCACCCACCAAGGGGCAGCCTTGGACTGCACAAACCCCATGACACCAGTCACTGTGACATCCTCCTATAATCCCTGACACCCTCAACCACTCCCCGCTTCATATCAGTGTAACACCCACAGTGAAACTAAAGGGCGGGGGACACCCTCAACCACTCCCCCCACCTTCTATCAATGTAACACCAACAGTGAAACTAAAGGGCGGGACGCAGTGGCTCACACCTGTAATCCGAGCACTTTGGGAGGCCGAGGTGGGAGGATCACTTGAACCCAGGACTTCCAGGCTGCAGTGAGCTATGATCGCACCATTGCACTCCAGCCTGGGCAACAAGCAAGACCCTGTCTCTCAAAAAAACAAACAAGAAAACTAAAGCACAGATCCCCCTCATGCACACACATTCCTAGTCTACACACACAGACTGTTAATACGTTATCCATTCGCGTGTGTAGTCATATGCAGGCAGGAATTGCAGTCTCTCTCAGGGACACCTTCACAAACACACATACCCTACCTGCCATAAACCCCAGTCCCTACATCTCACCAAGCTCTTCTTGTAGAACCCCTACATTTCTTGACAAGGGGACTGAGCACCCACTTTGAGGAGAGAGAGCACAGCAGTGACAGAGAATGCAGGTGCCCGTGAGTGCTGTGAGGCCACTGTCGCCCGTGTGGTCCACCTCAGTGGCTTTGGCTGTCTGGGAGAGGGCTCTAAGCTCCAGTTCTGGGGCCTGGCCCTCTGTGGCAGAGCTGGCACCAAGGCAAGCAGGAGGCAGAGTGGCAGCCTCGCCCATATGGACCGTGCAGTGTGGGAAGGGAGCAATGGGAAGATGATAAGTACTTCTCAGGCGTAATACAAAGGCAAGAAAATTCTGCAGTTCAGGTCAAGAAGCCCTGTGTGGCTGGGCACATGGCTCACGCCTGTAATCCCAGCACTTTGGGAATTCAAGACCAGCCTGGCCAACATGGTGAAACCCCGTCTCTACTGAAAATACAAAAATTAGCTGGGCATGGTGGCAGGCACCTAGAATTGCTTGAACCTGAGAGGCGGAGGTTGCAGTGAGCCAAGATTGTGCCACTGTGCTCCAGCCTGGGTGGCAGAGTGAGACTCAGTCTCAAAAAAAAAAAAAGCCCTGTGTGTATCTGCAAAAAGAAATTTGGCAGTTCATTGTCCTTTTGGCGTAGCTTTTCACTGTAGAAATTACAGTGACATGTGCCTCATACCATCAGCAGGGGGCACCAGATAGTTTCCAGGGCGTAGCAAGGGAGGGAAATGTCAAAAGATGATTTCTTTCTCTCTCCCCTAAAATAAAAGGACGAGCTGATGAAAGAACCACAATTTGTAGCATTTTATGTGCATGTTAAATAATTCTGAAGTGCTATTGATGTTAAAAAAAAAAATCAGTACAAGCCATACAGCAGAAGTATTTCTGGCTTGGCATAATACTGCTTTCAGTCAAATTTAGGAAGCTTTTCTGTTGTTTTCCGTTCCTTCCATCATAAAGTGTCTAGACTAGGGTAGAGTCACAGACTCCCAGAACTGGGAATGGCCGTGGTGAGCACATGGCGAGGATGGATGAGGGCAGCACGGCCCAGTGGAAAGAATGGGGCATTGGGGGCCCAGCCTGCACTCAGGTCCCAGCTCTGCCACTCGCTCATGACATTGGCAAGTTCCTGAACCTTTTGGAGCTTCGGTTTCCTCACCCGAAGAATAGGGCCGATCGCCTTTACCCAGACGGCCTGGCTCAGACTGTGTGCTCAATGAATGGTTCCTCCTGCCCTGAAATGATTTCAGCAAAATCACACAGGCAGGTGGGCACGAGGCTGGTGGGCTTGGCAGCCTGAGCCCTGGGTACGGAGGGGCCCCCATCCTCCTCTTCCATCTTGGGTGATTTTGGCACCATCCCCAGCAGGCCAAGGTCAGACATTGCCACAAACACTAACCTGCTCATCTACTCAGCAGATAAACATCAGAGTCAGAGCCTGAAGAGCCAGCCGCTTTCTTCCTCCTTTCATGACATCTTAAGTCCTTGCAAAGAGCGTGGCCCGAAACCAGAGCACAGACAGAGCAAAGTGGAAAAGAAGCACCTCCCTTCTGACTCCTCCACCGTCAGCCTCCCCGACTTTGCCGAAATAGAGAACCTTGCGAATCGGATCAACGAAAGTCTGCGTTGGGATGGAATTCTTGCTGACCCGGAGGCAGAGAAGGAAAGGATTCGCATCTATAAACTGAATCGGAGAAAACGGTACCGGTGCTTGGCCCTCAAGGGCTTCCACCCCGACCCCGAGGCCCTCAAGGGCTTCCACCCCGACCCCGACGCCCTCAAGGGCTTCCACCCCGACCCCGAGGCCCTCAAGGGCTTCCACCCCGACCCCGAGGCCCTCAAGGGCATCCACCCCGACCCCGAGGCTCTCAAGGGCTTCCACCCCGACCCCGAGGCCCTCAAGGGCTTCCACCCCGACCCTGAGGCCCTCAAGGGTTTCCACACTGACCCCGAGGCCCTCAAGGGTTTCCACATTGACCCCGAGGCCCTCAAGGGCTTCCACCCCGACCCCAAGGCCCTCAAGGGCTTCCACCCCGACCCCAAGGCCCTCAAGGGTTTCCACACTGACCCCGAGGCCCTCAAGGGCTTCCACCCCGACCCCAAGGCCCTCAAGGGCTTCCACCCCGACCCCGAGGCCCTCAAGGGCTTCCACCCCGACCCCGAGGCCCTCAAGGGCTTCCACCCCGACCCCGAGGCCCTCAAGGGCTTCCACACTGACCCCAATGCCGAGGAGGCCCCTGAGAACTTACCCTACCTCTCGGACAAAGATGGCAGCTCCAGCCACAGGCAGCCCACGTCGAAAGCCGAGTGCCCCAATCTCTGTTTTGAAGGAAACCTTACCCCAAAGCTTCTACACTCTGACTTAGCTCCTACTCTGCTGGAGTGAAAATCTACCCACGACGCTCACAAACTTATAATTCCTCCTCACCACAAGTTTATGTGTTAAAAACCATCATCATAAAAGGAAATGAGACCCGTATCTGAAGGAAACAGATGTTCGGTACACGGACGACGCCGACTCTCCCATCACCAAGCTGCCCTCGGTTGCCCAGGAGAGCCACAGTGCCTTGAGAACATAAGCAATTTAGTGAACAGAGTTCTTTTCAGAATTTCCTTTTTCTTAAGTAAGCATCTCTGTTACTTAATTTCTCACCACAGCTAGATGTCTATAATCTGCCCCAAAAAGAAAAGAAAGCGTGTAGATGATTTACCTCTTAAGTCTCAATCTCATGGTGAAACTCCTCACACGGTACCTGCTTCTGTTGGCCGGAGGACGATGCCCTGAACCTCTTGGAGCCTTTTTCTGTTTTAATTAAATGCATGGCCTGCCTTTATATGGCCTCAAATAAGTGGGTTCCAGAACTCCATCCCTGGGAAGTTACCATGGGAAGTCCCAAGAGGAATACTGCTTCTTTCATAAACATGGTCCTCTCCTAATCCTCCATTATAAAAAGCCTCGCTACGCCGCGTCTCCTAAATACACATTCCTCCCCTCCACAAGTAGCCAGTGAGTGAGGGCCACGTGCTGTCGTCGTTTGTGCTCTCCCAGAAGCAGCCCCTGAGACGAGGGTTCAAATGCAAGTAGATTATCTGGGAGGTGAAGAAAGGATGAGTAGAGGGTGATACAGAGAAGGGAAGACGGCCAATCCTGGGACTTTTCTTTTTAGACAGGATCCCGCTCTGTTGCCCAGGCTGGAGTACCAGTGGCGAAATCATAGCTCTCACTGCACTCCACCTCGTGGGCTCAGATGATCCTCCCGCCTCAGC
The DNA here is from genome assembly GCF_000001405.40 of Homo sapiens. NCBI lineage: Eukaryota > Metazoa > Chordata > Mammalia > Primates > Hominidae > Homo > Homo sapiens. The sequence continues at coordinate 12,360 of NW_017363817.1, forward strand.
CCCCTAAGTAGCAGGGACTATAGGTGAGTGCCACCACGCCTGGCTAATTTTAAAAATTTTTTGTAGAGATTGGAGGGGGTGTGGTCTCACTATGTTGCCCAGGCTGGTCTCGAACTCCTGGCCTCAAGCAGTCCTCCCACCTTGGCCTTCCACAACATTACAGGCATATGAGCCACTGTGTCTGGCCCCCCTTCCAGGGACTATTAGGCCAGCTTTCATACTGGGCTTAATTCCACAGGGAAACCCACTTCTAGAATTATCCCACCTGGGGGTGAGGAAGCTGGGGTATTTATACTCCCCAAAGGCATTGGCCGAGGGCTGGTCGTGTGTGTGTGTGTGTGTGTGTGTGTGTGTGTGTGTGTGTCCTGGCATTTCTAGCTGAAAGGTTGTGTGTGTGTGTGTGTGTGTGTGTGTGTGTGTCCTGGCATTTCTAGCTGAAAGGTGTGTGTGTGTGTGTGTGTGTGTGTGTGTGTGTGTGTGTCTCTCCTGGCATTTCTAGCTGAAAGGTCCAAAGGAAAAGGGTGGTCTCTGGGGAAGCCTCAGCTACCTCAGCAACACCGTGGGTCTGAGAGGGACAGCATGGAGGGCTAAGATGAGATTCCTGACCTTCAAGAGGTTACAGTGTTCTGGGGTAGACAAAAAATGAATGTACACTGTACACAGGAGAGGTTAAAGCCGATACAGACATCACAGAATGCTCATTTGAAAGTTAAGTGAAAATGGCTGGGCGCAGTGGCTCAGGCCTATTATCCCAACACTGGGAGGCTGGGGCAGGTGGATCATCTGAGGTCGGGCATTCGAGACCAGCCTGGCTAATATGGTGAAACCCTGTCTCTGGTAAAAGTACAGAATTAACCAGGTATGGTTGCAGGTGCCTGTAGTCCCAGCTCCTCAGGAGGCCGAGGCAGGAGAATCGCTTGAACCCAGGAGGCGGAGGTGGCAGAGCCAAGATGGTGCCACTGCACTCCACCCTGGGCAACAGAGCAAGACTCTGTCCGAAAAAAGAAAAAAAAGTTAAGTGGGCATCGTGGTCCCTGCTAGCTCTGGGCTGGCAGAGCAGCCCTCTTCTGACCCTTCCTTAAAAGGCCAGTTACAGTTTCCACATTTGCCCTTGCACCCTGTCAAAATATACTGAAGAGACATTTGGAAGAGTCCTCTCCTGCCATGGAGAATGGTTAGCAGACAGGAACGGGCCTCCCTGTGCTGAGGCCAGGCCTGTCCTCTGCTCTCCATGGAGAGGAAGGGGCAGGAAATACTCCAGTGCCAGCCACAGGACCTCGCTTGTGCCCCAGGGTATTAAAGGCAGAGACAGAACAGAGGGCAGCCACGGGGCTGGCATCTCATGTGCCCTCCGGGTCTACCACAGTGGCTGGAGCCTGGGGCACAGAGGAGTGTGAGGGTGCACTGGGCTGAGACGGTCGCTTAGCAGCGCCTTCCATGGCGGTGAGAGGCAGGGGTGGGGGCTGTGGTCATCTCCCAGCTGCGAGGTAACATTCTGGGAAAGTAGCTAAGATGGCGAGCTTTGACACCAGAGCTGAATTCACCTCTTTCCCACCACATGCTAGCACTGTGGCCCCTGGCAGATTGCTTCACCTCTCCGAGCCTTAGTTACCTCATCTGAAAACCGGACTGCAAATTCCTGCCTTAGTGCTGTGAGAATCGAGTGCAATGAGGCATCTAGCATGGCGCCTGGCACCCAGGAAACAAACTACGAGTTTTCATCAGTGGTATTTCAGGTTGACGTGGCCACATGTCTGCTAGAGAGACTGTCCCGAGTAATGGTGTAGACCTTACCTCCTGGAAGGGTCAGCTTCACAAACGAAATCTGGCTTCAGTGGCTGGCCAAGAGAGAGAATTCACACACAGAGAACAAATGACGGGGGCCCCGGAGCAGGAGAGAGTGGAGCAGGAAGGAAGCCGGGGCCCTGAAGGCCGGTGCTTAACGTATAATGATAGAAAGCAGGTGGGGTGAAGGTTCCTGGAACACACAAGTAGCTTCAACTCAGAACACCTTGGGTTCGAAGTTTGCATATCTTCCTCACACCCAGGCTGTAGCAGTGAGGACTCCTTCAGGGCAAGAAACAAACCACAGTGAAAACCACCTTACAGACCAAGGGGAATGGTTGACTTTTTTTTTCTTTTTCTTTTTTTTTTTTTTTTGAGATGGAGTTTCACTCTCGTCACCCAGGCTGGAGTGCAAAGCACCATCTTGGCTCACCACAACCTCCGCCTTCTGGGTTCAAGCGATTCTCCTGCCTCAGCCTCCTGAGTAGCTGGGATTACAGGCATGTGCCACCACGCCCGGCTAATTTTTGTAGTTTTAGTAGAGATGGGGTTTCACCATGTTGGCCAGGCTGGTCTAGAACTCCTGACCTCAAGTGATCCACTCGCCTCGGACTCCCAAAGTGCTGGGATTTACAGGCGTGAGCTACCACGCCTGGCCGGAATGGTTGACTTATAAAGCCAACAGTCCAGGGTTGCCTGTGGCTTCAGTCATGGCTGGATCCAGGAGGTCACACTGTGTCATCAAAATGTCTCTCTCTGCGTATTTCACCTCTGCCTCCTCCATATCAGCTTTATGTTCAGGCAGGTTCTCATCACAGGATGACAAAGACAGCCACTGATATCCTTATAATTTTGTAAGGAAAAGAGAGTTACTCCTCTGTCCGTATCCAGTGTCCGTATCAATCCCAAGAAGGTCTCTGGCCTGGCAGGGGTCATATGTCCATCAGTGGACTAATCGTAGCAGCCAGGCGAATACAGTGTTTGATGGCTACAGAGACCTAGAACGTGGAGCAGGGCAGGGCAGCCCAACAGGATGCAGTGTTTGATGGCTACAGAGACCTAGAACGTGGAGCGGGGCAGGACATCCCAGCAGCCAGGTGAATGCAGTGTTTGATGGCTACAGAGACCTAGAACGTGGAGCGGGGCAGGGCAGCCCAACAGGACGCATGAACTAAACAGATTGTTACAGAATCTATCCAGAATCTGGCTGGGCGCAGTGGTTCATGCCTGTAATCCCAGCACTTTGGGAGGCCAAGGCAGGAGGATCACTTAAGGTCAGGAGTTTGAAACCAGCCTGGCCAACATGATGAAACCCTGTCTGTACTGATAATACAAAAATTAACCAGCGTGGTGGCACGCACCTGTAGTCCCAGCCACTTGGGAGGCTAAGGTGGGAGAATCACTTGAACCTGGGAGGCAGACGCTGCCGTGAGCTGAGATCACGCCACTTGCACTCCAGCCTGGGCAACAAAGCGAGATTCCAGCAAAAAAGAAAAAAAAAAAGAAAGGGAAAGGAAGAAAAGGAAGGAAGGAAGGAAAGAAAGAAACGGAAAGGAAGAAAAGGAAGGAAAGGAAGGAAGGAAGGAAAAGAAAGAGAAAGAAAGAAAGAAAAAGAATGTATCCAGAATGTCTCTGTCTCTCTCTCTCCTCTCTTTGAGACAGGGTCTGGTTCTGTCACAGAGGCTGGAGTGCAGTGGCATGATCTAGGCTTACCGCAACCTCCACCCCCTAAGCTCAAACGATCCTCCCCCTTCAGCTTCCTGAGTAGCTGGGACTACAGGCGCACACCACTATGACTGGCTAATTTTTGTATTTTTTGGTAGAGAGGCTAGTCTCAAACTCCTGAGCTCAAGCGATCGGCCCGCCTCAGCCTTCCAAAGTGCTGGGATTACAGGCATGAGCCACTGTGCCCGGCCAATCCAGAGTCTGTGTAGAATATAGAGTGATTCCCTAAGAGACGATAAGTAGAACAGGTTTGTCCATTGCTTTCCAAATGAAGAATGATTCCTTTTAATTTTCACTTTTTAAATGTTTTATACCCCATCCAATGACCTATCAAGAATGATTCATTTTTGGTGAGGCGCCGTGGCTCATGCCTGTAATCCCAGCACTCTGGAAGGCTGAGGCAAGTGGATTGCTCAAGTCCAGGAGTTAAGAGACCGGCCTAGGTAACATAGCAAAACCCCATCTCTACAAAATATACAAAAATTATCCCAAGTAGTCCCAGCTACTTGGGAGCCTGAGGTAGGAGGATCGCTTGAGCCTGGGAGGCAGAGGTTGCAGTGAGCCAAGATTGTGCCACTGCACAATCAGCCTGGGTGACAGAGCAAGACCCTGTCTCAAAAAAAAGATATATATTTTTAAAAGCCTCTGACCAAGGGTCATGGGAGTGGCTCATAGGGCTTGAGTCCATCTCAATTGACCTGAATTGACTACATGCTTATCTCCAAGACTACAGACCCTTGGACATTGCTATGGAATCCATAAAGACAAACAATGCTCTGTAATCATGGGCCCGTGAGTTGTTTTGGAGCAGAGTGTGGCAACCTTCAGCACTGTTCAGTAATAACATTTGGGGTTACGATTTGCACCTGGTTTTGGTGACACCTGAGTTTCCACCTTTAAAGCTAGTCACGTAGCTAGAATGTGCCCACATGACCAACTCAGAATAGGAGACCCCCAGCATGAGAAGACTCTGGGTTTCCTGGCACCGAGATGCTTCGTACACACACAGGTAGTGGTTTGAGACTCAGGAACAAGGCGCTCCTGCGTGAGCCTCGTGAACATCCACCATGGGCCCCACAGGAAGACAAGCTCAGGGCTGTGGCCGCCTTTATGCGGTTGGCGTGGTAAATGGCCCCCAAGGATCTCTGCCTCCTGGTATTCATGCTCGTCTCTTGAATGCGGGTTGAACCTGTTGGCTCTTTCTAGTGAATAGAATATGGCAAAAGTGATGGGATGTCACTTCCAAGAGGAAGTTACAAAAAGAGACTGTGTTCAGGAGGAGGAAGAGAAGCAATGGGTAGGTGGAGACGGGGATATTTAGGGCAATGAGACTATTCTGTATGAGACCAAGATGGGAGTTACATGTCATTATACAGTTGTCCAGACCCTTACAATGTACACCAAGAGTGAACCCTCATGTAAACTATGGACTTGAGTTAATAATAAGGTACGAAGGCCGCGTGTGGTGGCTCACGCCTGTAATCCCAACACTTCGGGAGGCTGAGGCATGAGAACCACTTGAGTCTAGGAGTTCAAGACCAGCCTGGGCAACATAGTGAGACCCTGTCTCTACAAAAAATAAAAAAATTAGCTGTGCTTGGCAACATGTGCCTGGAGTCCCAATTACTCGGGAGCCTGAGGTGGGAGGATCATCAGCCTGCAGGTCGAGGCTGCAGTGAGCCGTGATCCTGCCACTGCACTCCAGCCTGGGCGACAGAGTGAAACTCTGTCTCAAAAATACAAAAATAGAGTCTATTTATTAGCAAGAGACAGAGAAAGAGAGAGAAAGAGGGAATGGGGGAGGCTCTGGTTTCCATGTGACACACTTTTTACTTTTCGTCTTTTTTTTGAGACACAGTCTCACTCTGTTGCCCAGACGGGAGCTCAGTGGCGCAGTCACAGCTCACTGCAGGCTCAGCCTCTCCAGGCTCAGGTGATCCTCCCACCTCAGCCTCCTGAGTAGCTGGGACCACAGACACACACCACTACACCTGGCTAAGTTTTGTATTTGTTGTAGAGACACGGTCTCACCATATTGCCCAAGCTGGTCTCAAACTCCTGGGCTCAGGCAATCCTCCTGCCTCCGCCTCCCAAATTGCTGGAATTACAGGTGTGAGTCACCACCTTTATCTCTTTATCTCTCTTTATCTCTCTCTTTCTCTCAGGGATCTTGCTCTGGGGAAAGCCAGCTGCAGTGTTGTGTGGGCTGCCTGAGGAAAGGTGCCCTCCGGAAAGAAATGATGTCTCCGCCCAACAGCATGGTGGACCTGAGTCCTGCTACCAGCCACATGAGTGTGCTTGGAAGCAGGTGGAGCCCAGTTGAGCCTTGAGGTGCCTCCCTCTGTGAGAGACCCCAAGCCGGAGACATCCGGCCAAGAGGCACCCAGATTCCTGCCCCACAGAAACTGATACAATAACGTTGTTTAAAGCCACTACATTTGGAGGTAATCTTGTTACACAGCAATAACTGACTAATACAGTCGGCCTCTTCCATCAGTCACGATTCTCAGTGAGTTGTCTCGCCCTTAATCTGAGGGCTGGAAAGCCCGAAACCCAACATTGTCGTAAGAAACTGCGTTACCCAAGACACCCACTGCCAATGCTCAGGGGCCTCTGCATGCATTTCCAGAAACGATGCTGTGGCCTACAGGGTTGAGGTCACTGCGGGGGGAGTTAAGAGCCAGATAAGACTGAATGGGCCCCTGGCCAGGTGCAGTGGCTCATGCCCGTCATCCCAACACTTTGGGAAGCTGAGGCGGGCAGATCACTTGAGGTCAAGGGTTCGAGACCAGCCTAACCAACAGCCAATATGGTGAAACCCCATCTCTACTAAAAATACAAACTTAGCCAGGTGTAGCAGCGGGCGCCTGTAATCCCTGCTACTTGGGGGGCTGAGGCAGGAGAATGGCTTGAACCCAGGAGGTGGAGGTTGCAGTGAGCGGAGATGACACCAGTGCACTCTACCCTGGGTGATAGAGAAAGATTCTGTCTCAAAAAAAAAAAAAAAAAAACACTGAATGGGCCCCTTCAGCTTCATTATTTTTGTCAATTTTACGTCAGTAAAGCTGGTGGGGGAAGAATGATGGGGCCCACTTGCTATGCTCATACCAGGAGTTGTGTGCAGCTATTTGTATTATGGGTTGTTTTTGTTTGTTTGTTTTTGAGGTGGAGTCTCACTCTGTCACCCAGGCTGGAGGGCAATGGTGTGATCTCGGCTCACTGCAACCTCTGCCTCCTGGGTTCAAGTGATTCTTGAACACTGGCCTGTGTTATATTTTCATGCCGTGTGTTCTGTGTCTTGCCTGCACCTTTAATTGTAGCTATAATATCTTATGGCATTTTATAGTTTATATATAACTTCTTCTATCTCATTTGCTCCCTTTGCAGTAGAAATTATTTCCATTTTACAACTGAGGCTTAGAGAGGAGGTGATTGCTAGAATTACACAATTCCTAAGAGAATTGCTCTAAGGTCTCCAACTGTCTTTTAGGAAATCTATATCAAGCAACTGCTAAATATTCAGTTCTCTGTGTGTTGCTGCCAGAATGATACTAACAGTTCCTGTTTCTGTGGCATCTCCTCTGCCCAGGCAGGTGTTGGCCATTGAACATACATGACTTTGTTTCAGCTCCTCGACAATGTTTGAGGTGCAAGATGCTACAGTTCCCATCACATCCAAGGAAATGGGCACAGACTGGGAAAGTGACTTGCCCAGGGTCACACCAGGAGTAAGAGGAGACGCTGGGATGTCACACCCAGGCTAGCTGGTTCCAGAGATCCTGCTTTTAATTACTGCACTGCAGTATCTAAGACCTCAGCAGGTGGGAGCCAAGCCACACCCCCCAGGGGTCAACAACAATGGGAGGAGATAGATCAAGGCAGCAATGGGAGGAGATAGACCAATGGGGCTTGTCCGTGGGGTCAGTGGAATGGAAGGACTGGTTTTGGAAGAGAGAAGGGTTCCTGGGAATTGTGGCCAGAAGGGGAGGAGGGGCCTGGGGAGGTAGAAACCTCTACCACCCGGGCTCCCGAGGGCCCCCATTGTCTCAGACCTCCTGGCCACACTGCGTGTTTGTCCATGGTCTAAGCTGGGCCTCTGACACCACTGACATCCCCTCTGACCGTCACTGGACAGGCATGTGCCTCCTTCCACCATCCCAGAGCCGTGCTTCCGGGCTCCTCTCCGCAGCCTCTGCCTGCAGCTCCTGCCCACGCCGTGCCGTTGAGGACCGGAGCCTAAGGCTGCACTGCACAAAATGTGGTCCTGGGACCAGAAGAACCAACATGACAGGGGCTTGTTAGAAACTCTCTTGTTGGGGGTGCACAGCGGCTCGTGCCTGTAGTCCCAGCACATTGGAAGGCTGAAGTGGGAGGATGACTTGAGGCCGTGAGTTAGAGAGCAGCATGGGCAACAGAGCCAGAATCTGTCTCTACAAAAAAAAAGAAAAATAGTTGGCCCTCCCAGCCACTCAGGAGGCTAAAGCAGGAGGATCAACTGAGCCCAGGAGCTCAAGGTTACAGTGAGCTATGGTTACACCACTGCACTCCAGCCTGGGTGACAGAGCGAGACTCTGTTTCTAAAAAATAATAAACATTTTGGCCAGCCAGGTGTGGTGGCGCATGCCTATAGTCTTAGCTACGTGGGAAGCTGAGGTGGGAGGATAGCTTGAGCCTGGGAAGTTGAGGCTGCAGTAAGCCAAGATCACGCCACTGCACTCCTGCCTGGGCAACAGAGCAAGACTCCCTCAAAAAAATTAACAAAATGTTTTAAAAAGAAACTCCCTTGCTAGTGGATTCTCAGGTCCTCCCTGCAAACCAGACCTACGGTATCAGAAAAGTCCCAGGTAGCTCCCTGCACATTCACCGTGAGAGGCTCTGGTTGTCGGGACACAATTCCCCGTATGGAATTCTCACTCTACTTATGTTTCTCCCCGTCACCACTGGCTACCTTTGATTCAGACTCTCTTTCATAGGATGAATAGCCTTGGAAGATAGAGATCGTGTCTCCCTCCAGAGCAAAGGGCAGATTAGCTTCAATGATGACAGAAGATCTCGGTTCCCGGGCTCAGAGCTCCGCTGCTGTAACGTAAGCCCTTCTGTCCTCATGTCACCTAGAGCCTCTTCCTGTCACCCTGTGGGAAGTGATTCTGAGGAAACCAGGACAATTGCAAACACTCTGGCTACTGCTTTGCTGTGACTAATAAACATCCTTTGTCTTGTCTCTGGCCCCAGAGTCTCCTGTCTTTAGCTCACATCCATGAAATTGTGGCGGGCGGCCAGGCACAGTGGCTCACACCTATAATCCTAGCACTTTGGGAGGCCGAGGTTGGGGGATCAAGAGGTCAGGAGTTCGAGACCAGCTTGGCCAACATGGTGAAACCCCATTTCTACTAAAAATACAAAAACTATCCTGGCACGGTGTCTGGCACCTGTAATCCCAGCTACTCGGGAGGCCGAGGCAGGAGAATCGCTGGAACTTGGGAGGCGGAGGCTGCAGTGAGTTGAGATTATGCCATTGCACTCCAGCCTGGGCAACAGAGCAAGACTCCGTCTCAAAAAAAAAAAAAAAAAAAAAAAACATGAAAAGAAATTATAGCAGGCTAACTTTTTAGCTTGCTAATAGCAGAAAATCTCATTCTTCCCAGTTCGTGACCCTGGTCTAAGGGACAGGCACACTAACCATTTAATTCTCTGGTTTCTCTACGATTAAATCAGATCACCAGAAACAGTGTGATGTCACCCAAATCTTACTTTTCAAGAAATGCATAGGTAGTGAAGCAAACTAGAAAATACAGAGAAGCAAAAAAAAAAAAAAAAATGTTTTAGGAGGCTGGGCGTGATGGCACATGCCTGTAATCCCGGCACTTTGGGAGGCCAAGGTGGGCGGATCGTTTGAAGTCAGAAGTTCGAGACAAGCCTGGCCAACATGGTGAAACCCCATCTCTATGAAAAATACAAAAATTAGCCGGGTGCGGTGGCGGACGCCTGTAGTCCCAGCTACTCAGGAGGCTGCGGCAGGAGAATCACTTGAACCCAGGAGGTGGAGGTTGCAGTGAGCCGAGATCGCTCTCCACTGCACTCCAGCCTGAGCGACAGAACAAGACTTTGTCTCAAAAAAAAAAGTTTTAAAAACACTGACTAGTCCCACCATTAGGAGAGAGAGCCTCATCTGTTTGGATTCATCCTTCCAGCCTTTTTCTATTAATATATCTAAGTACAGGAAAACAAAATTGCCAGGTGTGTTGGCTCATGTCCGTAACCCCAGCACCTTGGGAGGCTGATGTGGGAGGATCACTTGAGGCCAGGAGCTCAAGTCTGCAGTAAGCTGTAGCTGCACTCCAGCCTGGGTAACAGAACAAGACCCTAGCTCTGAAAAAATAAAAAATATGGCCACGCATGGTGGCTCAACCCCTGCTCTTTGAGAGGCCAATACAGGAGGATTTCTTGAGGCCAGGAGTTCAAGACCAGCCTGGGCAACAAAAATGAGACCCTGTCTCTACAAAACATTTAAAAAATGAAAAAGAAAATTAAGGCCGGGCGCAATGGCTCACGCCTGTAATCCCAGCACTTTGGGAGGCCGAGGCAGGTGGATCACCTGAGGTCAGGAGTTCGAGACCAGCCCAACCAACATGGGGAAACCCTGTCTCTACTAAACTTACAAAATTAGCCGGGTGTGGTGGTGCATGCCTGTAATCTCAGCTACTCAGGAAGGCTGAGGCAGGAGAATCGCTTGAACGCGGGAGGCAGAGGTTGCAGTGAGCCAAGATCGCGCCATTGCACTCCAGCCTGGGCAACGAGCAAAACTCCATCTCAAAAAAAGAAAAGAAAAGAAAAGAAAATTAATGGGACAACAATACATAAATTGTTTTTAAATAATTTTCTTAAAAATATGGCTTGGTGTCCAGGTGCGGTGGCTCACACCTGTAATCCCAGCACTTTAGGAGGTTGAGGTGGGCAGATTACTTGAGGTCAGGAGTTCAAGACCAGCCTGGCCAACATGGTGAAAACCTGTCTCTACTAAAAATACAAAAAAATTAGCCGGACATGGTGGTGCACAGCTGTAGTCCCAGCTACTCGGGAGGCTGAGGCAGGAGAATTGCTTGAACCCAGGGGGCAGAGGTTGCAGTGAGCTGAGATTGCGCCACTGCACCCTAGCCTGGGTGTATTTTTTCAAGACTCCATCTCAAAAAACAAAACAAAACAAAACAAAAATATTTATATATATATATATATGGCATGGATGTCTTTCCAAATCACTAAACTAACATCTGCATCATCGTTTGTGATGTTTGCCTAGTATTCCACTGTATGAACTGTTTATTCAGTTCTCTATCTGTGGACGTCTAGTTTCTTTTTTTTCTTTTTTCTTTTTTTTTTTTTTTTGAGATAGAGTCTCTCTCTATTGCCCAGGCTGGAGTGCAGTGGCACGATCTCGGCTCACTGCAAGCTCCGCCTCCCAGGTTCAAGTGATTCTCCTGCCTCAGCCTCCCAAGTAGCTGGGATTACAGGCGCCCACCACCACGCCGGGCTAATTTTTGTATTTTTCATAGAGATGGGGTTTCACCATGTTGGTCAGGCTGGTCCTGGTCTCGAACTCCTGACCTCGTGATCTGCCCGCCTTGGCCTCCCAAACTGCTGGGATTACAGGTGTGAGCCACTGTGCCCAGCCTTTTTTTTTTTTTTTTTTTTTTTGGCTATTCTAAACAACTTTGCAATGAGTATCCTTATATGCACATTTTAGTGCAATTTTCTAGTGTTTTGGGTATGTTTTGGGGGGGTGAAATAAGCCAAAAGACAATTAAAACAATAAACACTCATATAGCTTTTAACTCACGCCAGGTACTGTTCTAAGCGCTTTGCACATATCAACTCATTTAATCGTCACGACATCTCTGGGAGTAAAGAACTCTTGCCATCCCTGTTCTATAGGGAGTTTAAGGGGCTAGCCCAAGGTCACACAGCTACTAAGTGGTGAAGCTGGGATTTGAACCAGGCATTCTGGCTCAAAGTCTGTGTGTACTCATTCTACTATGGGTTACTCCCAGTTTTAAATGCCCTCTTTGCCTTTCCTAAGAGCCAAAAAGGAAACGGCATTGGGGCCGGGCACGGTGGCTCACGCCTGCAATCCCAGCGCTTTGGGAGGCAGAGGTGGGCGGATCACCTGAGGTCAGGAGTTTGAAACCAGCCTGGCCAACATGGCAAAACCCCATCTCTACTAAACATACAAAAAATAGCTGGGTGTGGTGGTGGGTGCCTGTAATCCTAGCTACTCGGGAGGCTGAGGCAGGAGAATTGCTTGAACCTAGGAGGTGGAGATTGCGGTGAGCTGAGATCGTGCCCCTGCACTCTAGCCTGGGCGACAGAGCAAGACTCCATCTCAATTCAAAAAGAAAAAGAAAAAGAAAAACAGAAATGGCATTGGGTCAATGTGAGGATCTTCGACTTTGTGTCCGCTGTGTAGATACAGGTGGTAGTAAAGTCCTCTTCGAGTTTAGTCCCGAGAAAAGCCTTGTCTTTTAGGGACTCACTTCCTTATACTAGCGTAAAAAAATTTACAGGAGGCCATTGTTTTGGACTAAGGTACTGCACTAGGCCCAACAGTCCAGAGCGACCAAAACGAAGTCACTCGTGGCAGGTGCCCGGTGATCACCCTGAACTTTAAAATGGGTCACTTTTCCAAAAAACAGGAGATTCACAGCAACCAACAGACAGGGTTTTAGTGCCTCTGTCACACAGATGTCTTGTAGCTATCCCTATCTCCTTTTGAAAGTAAGTGGATACGATTAACACGTGAATAAAATGAATGAAACAATTCATTTAACAGTTCATTTAAACTAACTTTTTGGACCCTTCTTGCTTTGTAAGAATTCTTGGGGTCGGGAAGGTGGTGTGCTGGCACTGGGAACATCCTGTTAATTGTACTTGCCAGCTTAATTACCTAAACAAAGCCCAAAGCCTTCTAGAGAAAAGGAGTAATTTGTAATTACCAGCAACTGGTTTGACACATCAAGGCCCCTATTCTCATTCTGAAAAGGAAGCCAGCAAACATAAAGAACAAAAACCTTCCACTTAAAAAAAAAAGCCCCTTCACGCTCTAACGTCTTGATTCGACACTGCACCATTGTGAGCTTGAGAACAGTACTCAGTCTAAAAGCAACGTATCCCCTTAGACAGCTCCATTCTGACCACCACCAAAAGCTGCGGTTCTCCAAAAAATTAGCAATGGCTGGGGAGAATACGAATGATTTTTATTTTTGCTAATATGCATTTTTTTATTTTTAAGAATGAGCACTTTCAGGCTGGGTGCGGTGGCTCACGCCTGTAATCCCAACACTTTGGGTGGCCGAGGCGGGTGAAACACTTAAGCCCAAGAGTTTGACAGCAGCCTGGGCAACATGGTGAAACCCTGTCTCTACAAAAAATACAGAAATTACCCAGGTGTAGTGGCACGCACTGCAGGCCCAGCTACTCAGGAGGCAGAGGTTGCAGTAAGCTGAGATCGTGCCACTGTGCTCTAGCCTGGATGACAGGACAAGACCCTGTCTCAAAAAAACAAACCAACAATGAAACAAAGATGATAACAACCCCTACCCCAAACAAACCCCTTCCTTGCTTGGGGACCACACTGCCTTTGTGAAACTAACAAATCAGCCACAGATTATAAATTATGACTCAGAACCAGGTGTGGTGGCTCATGCCTTTTGGGAGCTGAGCATTTTGGGAGGCTGAGGCAGGTGGATCATCTGAGGTCAGGAGTTCGAGACCAGCCTGGCCAACCTGGTAAAACCCCCATCTCTACTAAAAATATAAAAATTAATCAGACATGGTGGTGGGCGCCTGTAGTCCCAGCTACTCGGGAGGCCAAGGCACAAGAATCACTTGAACCCGGGAGGCAGAGGTTGCAGTGAGCCGAGATCGCACCACTGCACTCCAGCCTGGACAACAGAGCAAGACTCCGTCTCAAAACAAACAAACAAAACTCTAGCCTCTGAATTTTCAGAGGCAGATTTGAGCAATAATAAACTCCTGTTCTTCTGCTTAGCTGGCTCTGTGTTTATTAAACTCTTTCTCTGTTGCAATACTGCTGTCTTGGTAAATTGGCTCTCTCTGTGCAGTGGGCAAGATCAACCCTTTGGATGACTCTGCATTTTCTTTGAGAAAAAAATTACATTAGAATGTACAAATCCTGTTTGTTTTTTGTTTGTTTTTGTTTTTTGTTTGTTTTTTGTGAGACAGGGTCTTGCCCTGTTGCCCAGGCTGGAGGGCAGTGGTATGATCAAGGCTCACTGCAATCCCCACCTCCCAGGTTCAACCGATTCTCCCACCTCAGCCTCCCAAGTAGCTGGGACTACAGGTTCACGCCACTGCGCTCAACTAATTTTTGTATTTTTTGTAGAAACAAGGTTTTGTCATGTTGACCAGGCTAGTCTCAAACTCTTGGGCTCAAGCAATCCACCTCCCTCAGCCTCCCAGAGTGCTGGGAATACAGGCATGAGCCACGGCACATGGCCCACAAATCTTAGTTGTACCATTTTGACAAAGTATATACTTTGGGAAGAAAGGGCTTTTTGTTTGTTTGTTTGTTTTTGAGATGGAGTCTCACTCTGTTGCCCAGGCTGAAGTGCAGTGGTGTGATCTCGGCTCACTGCAGCCTCCGCCTGCCCAGTTCAAGTGATTCTCCTGCTTCAGCCTCTGGAGTTGCTGGGATTACAGGTGCTTCCCACCACGCCCAGCTAATTTTTGTATTTTTTAGTAGAGATGGGGTTTCATCATGTTGGCCAGGCTGGTCTTGAACTCCTGACCTCAAGTGATGCCCCCACCTCAGCCTCCCAAAGTGCTGGGATTATAGGTGTGAGCCAGTGTGCCTGGCCATTTATTTGATTCTTATTATTTTTTGATTCTTAATTCCTGTTTTTATTATACCAGTAACACTAACTCATTGTAGAAGAACAGACGAGCCAAAAGAACAATCAATTATTAAAGTCTGTATACATACTACCAGGGCAAGACTTTCTACAAAGTCAAAAAACAACAGATGTTGGCAAGGACGTAGAGAAGAGGGAAGGCCTGCATGCTGCTTGTGGGAATGTAAATCAGCACAACCCTCAAGAAAAACCAGCATGGAGAGTTCTCAGAGAACCAAAAGTAGAACTACCATTCTACCCAACAATCCCACCGTGGGTGTCCACCCAAAGGAAAAGAAACTCTTCTATCCAAAAGACACCCACACTCGCAGGTCCAATGCAGACACCCACACTCGCAGGTCCAATGCAGACACCCACACTCGCAGGTCCATTGCAGACACCCACACTCGCAGGTCCAATGCAGACACCCACACTCGCAGGTCCAATGCAGACACCCACACTTGCAGGTCCAATGCAGCACAACTCACAATAGTGAAGACATGGAATCAATCTAAGCGCCCATCCACGGGCAACTGAATAAAGAAAATATGGCAAATGTATACCATGGATACCCCTCAGCCATAAAAAAAGAATAAAACCATGTCTTTTGCAGCAACATGTTGGAGCTGGAGGCCATCATCCCAAATGAAACAACTCAGAAACCAAAAGTCAAACACCACATGTTCTCATGTAAAAGTGGGAGCTAAACCATGTGTGCACAGGGTCATGGAATGTGCAATAAGAGAGACTGGAGACTTGGAAAGGTGGGGAGGTGGGAGGAGGGTGAGAGATGAGAAATTACCTTTTTGGTACAATGTACACTATTTGAGTGATGGGCACACCAAAAGCCCAGACTTGGCCACTATATAATATATCCACGTAACAAAACTGCATCCGTACCCCCTAAATCTATAAAAATAAAAAATAAACACTTTTCTAAAAGAACTTTTAAAGACACCTGCTTTAAGCAACTACAATTTAGTTAACTATGTAGTTTCACCATACTCCTAATTAAGTACTACAATTCATGCTAATAGCAAAAATATACCTGATACATAGAGTGAACCAGCATCTCTCTCTCTAAATGTTAGGTTGTGATACCATTTCCTTCAAAGGGAAAAATTTCAGCCGGGCACAGTGGCTCATGCCTGCAATCCCAGGACTTTGGGAGGCCAAGGTGGGCGGATCATTTGAGGTCAGGAGTTCGAGACCATCCTGGCCAACATGGTGAAACCCCGTCTCTACTAAAAATACAAAAATTAGCTGGGCGTGGTGGCACGTATCTGTAATCCCAGCTATTCGGGAGGCTGAGGCACAAGAATCACTTGAACCCGGGAGGTGGAGGTTGCAGTGAGCCGAGATCACACCACCACAGTCCAGCCTGGGTGATAGAGCAAGACTCAGTCTCAAAAAAAAAAAGGAAAAATTTCTCCTATGCTTTATTCTAATTTCCATATTTTTCTATCAGCTCCTTGGCTTTAGAAATATAGGCATTCATTGCATCTTCTGTCAACAACCGAAAGGGGTTTGGTTTGGAAAGGGGTTGTGTATTAGTCTGTTTTCACTCTGCTGTAAAGAACTGCCCAAGACTGGGTAATTTATAAAGGAAAGAGGTTTAATTGACTTTAATTGACTCACAGTTCAGCATGCCTGGGGAGGCCTCAGGAAACTTACAATCATGGCAGAACGTGAAGGGAAAGCAACCACCTTCTTCACAAGGCGGCAGGAAGGAGAAGTGCTGAGCGGAGGGGGAAGAGCTCCTTAAACAGCCATTGGATCTCGTGAGAATTCACTATCCCCAGATCAGCATGTGAGGAGCTGCCCCCACGATCCAACCACCCCCACCTGTGGGGATTATAATCTCATGAGAATTCACTATCCCCAGATCAGGATGGGGGGAGCTGCCCCCACGATCCAACCACCCCCACCTGTGGGGATTATAGGGATTACAATTCAAGATGAGATGTGGGTGGGGATGCAAAGCCTAACCATATCAGATTGTTATCTTTGCTTCAAAATTAAACTATAAACTAAATTCCTCCTGCATTTAGCTTAACCTGTACCCATGTACCTACCCCCTCGTGATCTGAAACATTTGAATTTCCATCGAAAGGATCCTTATGTTCCTTCCCAGTAAGTCACCAACCACCATACACACACATCTAGGTAATCATTAGTCTAATTCTTTTCAACCTAGAGTCCTTTTGCCTGTTTTAGAATCTCTTAAGTGGAATCATACTATATGCATCCTTTGATGCCTGTCAGCATCATGTCTATGCAAGTCACCCACGATATTACATGTATCAGCAATTTATTCCTGTTTATTGTTAAATAGTATTCTATTTTGTGTGTGTGTGTATATATATGTCTGTGTGTGTGTGTATATATATATATATATATATGTCTGTGTGTGTATATATATATATTTTTAGACAGAGTTTCCCTCTTGTCACCCAGGCTGGAGTGCAATGGTGCGATCTCGGCTCACTGCAACCTCCACCTCCTGGGTTCAAGTGATTCTCCTGCCTCAGCCTCCTGAGTAGCTGGGATGACAGGCATGTGCTACCAGGCCTGGCTAATTTTGTATTTTTAGTAGAGACGGGGTTTCACCATGTTGGTCAGGCTGGTCTCGCAGTCCTGACGTCAGATGATCCGCCCGCCTCGGCCTCCCAAAATGCTGGGATTACAGGTGTGAGCCACCGTGCCTGGTCTAAATAGTATTCTATTATATATATTAATATACACTATATTTTTGTTTATCAATTACTCTGTTGATGGATGGACATTTTGGTCTCTTCATCATATGACTATCAACAGAATGACCAGTAACTTTCTTATGTGCAAGCATTTTGGTGGACCTATGTTTTCATTTCTCATAGATAAGCATCAAATTATATTTAATCATAGCTTTAATCTGCATTTCCCTGATACCTAATGGTTTTGAACACCGTTTCATGGGCTTATTTCCCATCCATATATCTTCCTTTGTGAACTGTCTGTTCAAGTCTTTTGCTCATTTTTAATAGGGTCGTTCTCACGGCTGTAACCCCAGCACTCTGGGAGGCTGAGGTGGGAGGATTGTTTGAACCCAGGAGTTCAAGACCAGCCTGGGCAACATAGTGAAACCCCATCTCTACAAAAATACAAAAAAATTAGCCAGGCATGGTGGCACGTGCCTGTAGTCCCAGCTACTCAGGAGGCTGAGGTGGGAGGACAGCTTGGGGCCAGGAAGTTGAAGCTGCAGTGAGCCATAATTGCATCACTGTCTGGGTGACAGAGCGAGACCTTGTCTCAAAAAAAAAAAAAAAAAAAAGTTGACTTAAAGAGCTCTTTGCATATTCTGGATACAAGTCCTTTGTCAGATGTGAATTTTTCTCCCAGTCTTGACTTATGCTTTCTTAACAGAGTCTTTAAAGAACAGAGGTTTTTAATTTTGATGAAACAAGTTTGTTACTTTTTGTCTTTATGGTTATTCACTCTGTATCCTGTTTAAGAACTCTTTGGGCTGGGTATGGCGTCTTATGCCTATAATCCTAGAACTTGGGGAGGCCAAGATGGGAGGATTGTTTGAGGTCAGAAGTTTAAGATCAGCCTAAGCAACATAGCAAAATCTTATCTCTACAAAATTAAAATTAAAATTGACTGGGTGTGGTGGCACACACCTGCAGTTCCAGCTGCTTGGGAGGCTGAGATGGGAGGATTGCTTGGGCTCAGGAGTTCAAGATTGCAGTGAGCTATGATCGTGCCACTACACTCCAGCCTGGATGACACAGCAAGACTCCTTTCAAAAAAAAAAAAAAGAAAAGAAAAAAGAAAAAAATTTTTGCCCACTCTCAGGTCTTTTTTTCCCCCCAAGATAGAGTCTTGCTCTCTCGCCCAGTCTAGAGTGCAATGCTGCAATCTCAGCTCACTGCAACCTCCACCTCCTGGGTTCAAGCAATCCTTGTGCCTCAGTCTCCTGAGTACTGGGACTGCAGGTGCCCGCCACCACACCTGGCTAATTTTTGTATTTTTAGTAAAGACGGGGTTTCATCATGTTGGCCAGGCTGGTCTCAAACTTCTGGCCTCCAGCGATCCGTCCGTGTTGGCCTCCCAAAGTGCTGGGATTACAGGCATGAGCCGCTGCACCCCGCAGGTCTTAAAGACTTTCTCCTAGCTTTTCTTTTAAACATTTACATTTAGGTCTATAATCTATCTGGAATTAATTTTTGCTCGTGGTATGTGGTAGAGGTTGAGGTTTACTTTTTTCCCCATATAGAGAACTGGTGGTTCCAGCCCCATTTACTGAAAATGCTCTCCTTTCCCCATCAAATTGCTTTGGCGTCTTTGTCAAAATCAATTTGCAACAGGTCTACTATGGGACTCCTATTCTGTCCCACTTACATGTCTATCTTTAAGACAAATTATACTACCTTTTTTTCCAAGACAAGGTCTTGCTTTGTCACCAAGGCTGGAGTACAGTGACACCATCATAGTTCGCTGTAACCTCAAACTCCTGGGCTCAAGCAATCCTCCTGCCTTAGCCTCCCAAGTAGCTAGGACTACAGGTGCACACCACCACACCCAGCTAATTTTTTATTTTTTTGTAGAGATGGAGTCTCATTATGTTGCCCAAGCTGGTCTCAAATTCCTGGGCTCAAGTGATCCTCCCACTTCAGCCTCCCAAAGTTTTGGTATTACAGGTGTGAGCGACTACATCTGGCCCTATACTGTCTTGATAACTGTAGCTTTAAAATCAGTTGGTGTTTTTCTTTTTTTGAGATTATTTTGGCTATTCTAGGTTCCTTAAATTTCTATATAAATTTTATTTTTATTTATTTGAGACAGTCTCGCTCTGTCACCCAGGCTGGAGTGCAGCGGCATGGTCTCGGCTCACTGCAACCTCCACCTCCCAGGTTCAAGCGATTCTCCTGCCTCAGCCTCCCGAGCAGCTGGGACTACAGGCACCCACCACCACGTCCAGCTAATTTTTTTTTTTTTTATGATTGAATCTTGCTCTGTGGCCCAGGCTGGAGTGCAGTGGTGTGATCTCAGCTCACTGCAACCTCTGTCTCTCAGGTACAGTCGATTCTCCTCCTGCCTCAGCCTCCCGATTAGCTGGGATTACAGGCATGTGCCACAATGCCCAGCTAATTTTTGTATTTTTAGTAGAGACCAGGTTTCACCACGTTGGCCAGGCTGGCCTTGAACTGCTGACCTCAGCTGATCCACCCGCCTCGGCCTCCCAAAGTGCTGGCATTACAGGCTGTGAGCCACCATGCCTCACCCTATATAAATTTTAAAACAAACTTTCAAACTTTATTTAATTAAAAAACAAACACTTTGTTGGATTATGACTGGGATTGCGTTGAATCTATAGTACAGTTTGGAGACAGGTGACATCTTAGTGGCAAGTCTTCCACTCCAGGAACACGGTGTACTTCGTTTATTTGCATGTTCCTTAATTTCCCTCTGCAGTGTTTTAGAGTGTTCAATGTAAAGACTGCATGTGATTTTATTTATTCCTAAGTATTTTGTGATTTGTGACATATAAATTTATGATTTAAATTTCATTTTTGTTACCAGTATATAGAAACACAATTGACTCATATATCCACATTGTATTCTGAGACCTTGATATATTTAGTTATTAATTCTAATAATATTTTGGTTGATTCTGTAAGATTTTTCTATATGTAAACAGTCATGTCATCTATGTACAGGGACAGTTTTACTTCTTCCTTTCCAATTTTTTTTTTTTTTTTGAGACAGAGTCTCACTCTGTCACCCAGGCTGGAGTGCAATGGCGCAATCTCAGCTCACTGCAACCTCTGCCTCCTGGGTTCAAGTGATTCTCCTGCCTCAGCCTCCTGAGTAGCTGAGATTACAGGTGTCCACCACCACGCCCAGCTAATTTTTGTATTTTTAGTAGAGACGGGGTTTCACCATGTTGGTCAGGCTGGTCTCGAACTCCTGACCTCAGGCGATCCTCCTGCCTTGGCCTCCAAAGTGCTGGGATTACAGGCATGAGCCACCGTGCCCGGCCCCTTTCCAATCTTTATACCTTTTATTTTTCTTGCCTTATTTCATGGGCTACGACCGACAATACAATGGTGAAGTGAGTATTCTTGCCTCATTCCCAATCTTAGGAGGTCGGCGTTCAGTGTTTTCTCATTAAATGCATTTCACGGTGATTGTGTTTTCTGCATATGGGAGAATATTACTTCTTCCTTTAAAATCTGCATGTTCTTCCTTTTCTTATATTATTCACAGACGAATCCAACACAATGTCGACACTCAGTGGTTAGAGTGAATGTCCTTGCCTTGTTCCCCCACTTGGAAACATTCACTCTTTTCACCATGAAGTACTTGAAGGTTTCTCACAGATGCCTTTTACTAGGTTGGAAAAGTTTCCTTCTATTCCTGCTTTGCTGAGAGCTTTTATCACACATAAGTGTTAAATGTTGTCAAATGTTTTCTCTGCATCTATGGAGATAATTGTATGTTCTTTCTCGTTGTTGTTTTAACCTGTCAGTATGGTGAATTACATTGATTGATTTTCAAATGTTAAACCAACCCTGCATTCCTGGGATGAACCACATTTAGTTATGACCTATGATCCTTTTTATATATTCCTGGATTTAATTCACTTATTTTTCTTAAGGATTTTTCTATCTATATTCATGAATGATATTAGTCTATGGTTTTCATTCAATGGCTGTGTTAGGCTGTGGAATCACAGAAATGCTGGCCTCGGAACAAACTGGAGAGCGTTCCTTCTGCCTCCGCTTTCCAAACAGGTGTGTGTACGATTGGTGTTATTTCTTCCTTGAATGTTTGATAGTATTCACCATCATCTAGACCTGGGGTTTCCTTTGTGAGAAAAATTCCTTTGATACATGTATATTATCATTTTATGTAAATAGTTTGTACAGATGTGTGTATTCTTCTTGTCTATTTCATCTTGTGTCAGTTTGGTAAGATGCTTTTTTTAAAGAAATTTTTCTATTTTATCCAAGTTGTCTAATTTATCAACATAAAGTTGTTTGTAAAGTTATCTTATTATACTTTCGAGGTCTGTCGGATCTCTATTCAATTATGATATTGTAATTTTTGCTTTCTGGCTATTTCTTCATCAATCTAGCCGAAGTTTATCAATTTTTTCCAATCTTTTCAAAGAATCACAATTTTTATTTAAAAAAATTCACAATGATTTGTCTGTCTCTATTTCATTGCTTTATACTTCTATCTTTATTATTAAATATTCATTATTAAATTCCTTCTTCTTACTTGGAGTTTAATTTGCTCATCTTTTTCTAGCTGCTGTAGGTGGAAATTGCCATCAGAGTGGTGCTAGGCGTGGGAGCTGCCTCTTGAAGTTCATGATAATCTGGGTGACTTCCGTATACCCTGTTCGCCCAGCCTTCCAACATCTGTGTGAGCAGCTCTCTGTGTTAAATATCTAGTACGGTTTTGGTTTCCCTGACTGGACTCTGAATGTTATGAATATAAACTAGCATTTCTTGGCCGGGCGCAGTGGCTCATGCCTGTAACCCCAGCACTTTGGGAGGCTGAGGCGGGCAGATCACGAGGTCAGGAGTTCAAGACGAGCCTGGCCAACATAGTGAAACCCCGTCTCTACTAGAAATACAAAAAATTAGGCAGGTGTGGTGGTGCACGCCTGTAATCCCAGCTACTCAGGAGGCTGAGGCAAAAGAATCACTTGAACCCAGGAGGCTGAGGTTGCAGTAAGCAGAGATCACACCACTGCACTCCAGCCTGGGCAACACTGTAAGAATCTGTCTCAAAAAAAAAAAACAACAACAAAAAACAAAAACAAAAAGAACTAGCATTTCTGAAAGTTTATTCCAAAAACATTAGTCCCATGAAATGCTCGTGGGTTCTGTGATCCAGTGAGTTTGGAAAGTGCCATCTACTAGATTTCCTCTGTTGAAGACTCTCAACGCACATTACCATATTAACCGCTGGGGTAGGTGATTATAGAGCGAATATTCACTGCTTCTCCCCACATCCGTGGAAGAAGTATGGTACCCTGACTTTTGATGTTTGGTGTATCCATCCAAGTAACTTGCTTTGGCCAATAGAATGTGGGTGGAAGTAACAGCGTGCCAGGTCCCAGTGTAGACCTTAGGAGGTATTACAGCACTTCTGCCCTGAGAAAAACATGGCCAAGCCACCTCTCTAACCTGTTTCAGGGCTGAGTGGAACAGATCTGAATTCAACACTTAGCCAGAGGCAGAACTGCTGTATCGGACTATAGATTTGTATGCAAGAAATAAATGCTTACTCTTGTATGCAGTGGTGTGATTTTTAGGGTGGTTGTTACACAGCAAGAGCTGACCGATACAAACATCCCAAGCAGCCCTGTAATAAACACACTCAGCTTGTTCAGCTTTTCATGTCCCCAAACTTATTTGATCATAGAACCTTATTTGTATTTCTAAGCAATTTGGAAAATAGTAATAAAAACAAACTACTTGATAGGGATTATTCTTAAATAAAATTATCAGCATTTTGGAAAGACATATTCTTTGCAATGGGATTTGCTACCTAATCAATAGAGTCATTCGCTTCTTAAATTTCCAGAGACTATACCAAAAAGGCTTTTTGAGATTCATCATATTATTGTTAATTATCCCTACTACTTTTCCTCTTGGGAGCACCAGCTTAATCTGAGATACTTAGAAAGGTTGGGGACATGACTGGTTTCAACACCCTTTTGACTATTTCTCTGCACGTGCCCACACCCACACATCCCTGTACCTTAATCTTATGTGCTTTAAATATTTTTCCCTCAAAACCTTGGAACTGCTGATTAGCCAATTCATTTTATGGAATATTTACACCATATAACCTAATTGGCAAAATTAGCCCTCATTGTTATCCCAGTCAGCCAAATCAGGCATCATTCCTATTAAAAGGGGACTGGAAAAAAAATTACAGAAACGATACTCTGCATTTGTTTCGCAATGGGCAGACCTATGGAAACCTATCCTCAAGGTTCAGGGAAGCTGAGAGCTGGAAGAAAGAGGCTGACAGATTTAGTTCCTCAGAAAGAAACATTTAAGATGGGCACAGTGGCTCACACTTGTAATCCCAAAACTTTAGGACGGTAAGACAGGAAGATTGCTTGAGCCCAGGAGTTCGAAACCAGCCTGGGCAATATGGCGAAACCTCATCTCTACAAAAAAAATTTAAAAATTAGCCTGATGTGGTGGCACATGCTTGTAGTCTCAGCTACTCGGGAGGCTGAGGTGGGCAGATAATTTGTGTCCAGAGGTTCTTGGGCAGCAGTGAACTATGATTGTGCCACTCCACTCCAGCCTGGGAGAAAGAGGGAGATCCTGTCTCAATAAAACAAAGCAAAACAGAAAGAAACATCTAATAGAGCCTCATGAGCAGAAGCCATGAGGTCCCAGGCAGCAGCTAGGGGAGATGGTGGGTCCCTGCACCGTTACCCCTAGACCCAGGACTCGTCCACCGTAGGGAAGGGTTGTGTGGGACGCTCGCAGGGAAAGGCAGGAACGCTATGTGAATCTGCCTCAGGGCAGGATTTGTGCTGAGTACACGTTCCTATACAAGAAACCGTAGATAAAATAGATAAAATAGAGGCATTCGCTGAGCTGGGGTGAATCCGAAGTCAGTAGGGGAGATCAGCATCCAAGAGGGAGCTGCATCTCTGGGACATAATTACTTCCCAGTCATCACTCAAAGACAGACAAATACACACACAGCCTTGCCGTGAATTGGATGCTTGAATGAAATACAGGGCCTCCATCCATTTTCAATATTTCTTGTTGACTCTCTCTTTGCTTTGCCCAAAGGGACGGATGGCGTGCAGGAAATGCTGCCCCAAAATACGGTACTTTCGCTTGCTGTGTATTTTAAGCTCAAGGAAACTGAGAAAACGGCAGAAGCGAAGGGCTCTCTGATCTTCCCTCACCCTTTTCTCCCCTGAAGCAAGCTACAGAAATTATTTATTTTTATTTATTTATTTTTTGAGATGGAGTCTCGCTCCATCACCCAGGCTGGAGTGCAATGGCGTGATCTCAGCTCACTGCAACCTCCGCCTCCCGGGTTCAAGTGATTCTCCTGCCTCAACCTCCCAAGTAGCTGGGATTACAGGTGTGCCCCACCATACCTGGCTAATTTTGGTATTTTTAGTAGAGACGGGGTTTCACCAGGTTGGTCAGGTTGGTCTCGGACTCCTGACCTCAGGTGATCCGCCCGCCTCAGCCTCCCAAAGTGCTGGGATTACAGGAGGGAGCTACGGCGCCTGGCCCCTTTCTTTTTTAATTTTTAATTTTTGTAGAGATGGGGTCACACTGCATTGCCAAGGCTGATCTCGAACTCCTGGCCTCAAGTGATCCTCCAGCCTTGGCCTTGTGAAGCGCTGGGATTATAGGTGTGAGCCACCATGCCCAGCCACACTCGGAAAATCTTGTACTTGTAGATTAATACTGTTAAATATAATCACGTCTTAAAATTTCTCAAGATGAGGAGCTGTTTTTCTCATTTTGCGTAAACAAACATAATTCTACTTTAAAAACAGAAGCATCTCTCTAAGTTTTGTTTTTTCAGATAATTTATTGTTAAATGAAGACATCACAAAGCAAAATGGAGTGGGGCAGGTGTCAAAGGTAAACTGAAAACGTCGTGTCTGCCAAACGCTATTCTGGTTTCCTAAGGTTAGAAACAGGAAAAGTGTCAAATGAAAAGGTACTCGCTCAAATTAAGTTTTTTTAAAAGGTCTGTAATTTGAAAGGAAAACAATTTTTCACTAAAAATATCCTTATTACATGAAAGCCATAATTTAAAAGACAGAGAAAAAAGCTTTTTAATTAACAAATAAACAGCATCTCTCAGAGACACTTGGGAATGTTTGTTTTTAATCAGTGGGTCCTAAAAATCACTGCTTCCACCTGCAAACGAACACGAATCCACTGTGGATGGCGTCCTCTGACCCACCCTGAAGGGTTCTGTTTCTCTCCACACACTTCCTTTTCTGCAACTTTCAGCAAAGCAGGTTTGGAAGAAAGAGGATTACAAAGAACTACGACTGGCTCCCTAGTGAATAACTTAACACGGTAAAACCCGGTTTTCCATTTACATTACACATTCACAATCGCTCACTGCTACTTACTTCACTGACGTATTTCACACTCTCTACACACCCAGCATGATTTGTCTGAACTTAACACAGTCCCCCTAAGACAAAAAAAAATATCTCCTAAGGACCTCTGAGAACACAGCGGTGTTCAAAGGCCACGTCCTCGCACACAACACCCAGACCTGCCACGCAGCCGGTACTGTTTCCTGAGCTCATCCGAGCAAGCGTCTCCACGGGGCAAAGCAAGGCCTTGAGGATCCCGCTAACATAACTTACAAATTATTGGGAGGCCGAGGCGGGTGGATCACAAGGTCAGGTGTTCGAGACCAGCCTGGCCAACATGGTGAAACCCCGTCTCTACTAAAAATACAAAAATTAGCTGGGCGTGGTGGTGGGCACCTGTAATCCCAGCTGCTCAGGAGGCTGAGGCAGGAGAGTCGCTTGAGCCTGGGAGGTGAAGGTTGCAGTGAGCTGAGTTGGCGCCATTCCACTCAGCCTGGGCAACAGAGCGAGACTCCATGTCAAAAAAAAAAAAAAAAAAGACATTGACCACTTAAACGACCACAGCATGAAATCAGACAGAAAAATCCATTTTTATCAATAAATGCTGCGTCACTTGCTCTTCCAAACACAGGAAGCATTTTTTGCTCTGCACGTGACTGAGGAGACTGTGGGTCCCAGGGTGGCCCCTCCCTGGGTCCCAGCCGAGCTTCAGCCCGGCAAGCTCAGACCACGGGTGGACTGCAGGCCCCGTCCACAGGGCGTCGATGCATTGGGGCACAGCGGACTGATGCTGTTGTCTGCAGAGGACAGCGTGGCTCTCCAGGACTCCAGCGACTGCGCACGACGGCGATTGTCGCTGCACCTGCTGCTGTGGCTCCGGGGCACCGCGGGGCTCAGTTCAGCTTTCGGCGCAGATGGAGGCCATCGGCAGAAACCCGGAGCTACAGCCGAGCTGAGCTTACAGTGCTCGGTAACCCTCAGGCACTGGAAATAATTTGGATGTGTTCAAGGGGAATATCTAGTTTGTTCTTTCCAATATTGGAAGAAAAAAGTAAAACCATCAGCCACTTTCTTTACTCAAACACCACAGGGATTGGCAGGAGGTCCCAAGAAGGGGTTAGGGGAGGACGGGGTGGCGGGAGGCAGGTCTGAAGCCACCGCACCCTGGTCCACCCCGCTGCTGGGCCACGCCAGCCGAATTCACACGGTCCTTGGGGACATTTCAGTTGACTGTCACCTGCCTCCGTACGGTGGTGTGAGAGGAATGCGCGCCACCACGGCGGCCAGGTTTTGACATCGTTCCCTACTCTGAATGCACCTTAGCTTGTCTGGTGTCGGGGGATGGGGGCACAGATTTCCTCAGCTTTGCCACTTTTTTTTAGAGATGGAGGCTCACTATGTTGCCAGACCGGTCTCGAATTCTTGGGCTCAAGAGATCCTCCTGCCTCAGTTTCCAAGTAGCTGAGACTACAGGCGCCAGCCACCGTGCCCAGCCTTCCTTGCTTTCTGAATTAGACCTAAGGCACTGGCAGAAACCCTCTGCAATTCTGACGCCATCGAGATCCTAAGACTGAGTCAACTCTAGCTCCTCTCATGATGAACCAGGTCATCGCCTGCGTCTGCCTCCTCCGGGTGGCCGCAGGTCTTAGGGCCACCGCTTCCTGTCCTGAGTGTCCACTCCCCACGTGGACTCCCAAAAAGTGTGTTTTCCAAGCACACTCTTAGAATGCTGTTTCTCTCAAAAAAAGGCCGTCCACTCCGTTTTGCCTTATGAAAAAATGGGAAAGTATTCTGAAAGTATTCCAAAAGCCCAAAACACCTATCGGAGACTCACGGAAGCCTGCGGAGACGGTCACCAGATACCAAGGGTTCGAGGCGTTTCTCAGAGCCTGTGCTTGGAACTGACCGTCAGGAAGCAATCGGAGCCGAAGCCGCTGCTCCCAAACCTGGCCGCCCATCGGCCTGGCCTTCCCGGAGCAGGTGGCAACACGGAGAACCTTTTTTTTTAAAAAAAAAAGGCATCTTAAATTGTGGTTTGGGATTTTCTTTTTTTTTTATATCATGAAAAAAGATTTAGAGAATTACAAGAGTTTAGGTTAATAGGAAACACAAATGGAGGTGGAAATTTAAAAACAAAGGAATGGAACTCAACTCTCCACAGATTGAACCCACACAGGTGTCACTGTTTACTGAATTAGCACCACTTTTGTGCAGTGAAGACACCCGTGGCTGAGATTTCTTAAATCTCACTTTTTCCATGCTTTTCTTCTGACAAACTGACCACGGAGGGAGAGCTCTCCTCCCCCCTCCCTATCCCAGACTGCTGCTGCTTTCCTGCAATTCTGGTGGTCTTTTTGTTGCCTCATCTGATTGAGACTTTGGGGAAACAACACAGCAGCAAACCAGGACATATATTCCCTCTAAAAACAGCTTGAAAATTACAACACAAAGATCTCAATAATTATGAGATGCAGTGATTTTTTCTTTTTTTTCTCTTCCCCCGGCCGCGCTTGGAGGTATCTCTAGGTTAGACTCCTCTGGGGCTGGAATGACGTGAAGGGTAAGGTCGCCCAGCTTGGCCAGGGCAGTCGGGGGCAGGACAGCGGGAGAGCCGGTCCGACCCCAGCCCAGCCTGCTGGGTCAGCATTCATCAGAGAGGTCGTCGCTGCCCGGGAGCTCCGCGGCTTCGAGCTCCACGCTGGACAGAAACCTCCTCAGCGTCTTGCGGCAGTTGTAATCCAGGGTGGTGGTGTAGACGGCCTTGGGGTACTTGGGGTACACGATGGTGGTACTGAGGAAGCGGGTGGGCCTGTGGCGTGGCTCGAAGCGCACCTCGGCCTTGTAGTTGCGCCACGTGCCATTGGGGACACAGGTGACCGTCTGGCTGCAGGAGGCCACCGCCAGGCCCAGGGGCAGCTGCACGTCGTCGATGAAGTGCCTCTCGGAGTCGTACTTGACCAAGGAGGTGTACCTGGGCGGGAGACATAAGAGGCCGCGTGAAGCCGCTCCTCTGAGCCGGGGGCTTGGGGTCCCCACTGTGACCGTGAGTCATTTGTGGGGTGCACATGTAGAAACGTGGCCGCCCCAGTGAGAAGCAGCATAGGGTCACAGAGTCTATAAAGTACTTACTATGTGCCAGGTACCCGTCGTCTAAGTACTTTACTTACGGGATCCAATTTAATCTCCCCAACGACCCTGAGAGAAGAAACCGAGGTGCAGAGGTGAAGGTCACAGCGCCACTGAGTACTGGAGCTGGGATTTAAATACAGGGGTGCAGGCTTCCAAAGCTGGCCCCACATCACTGTTAGCCACTGCGGGCAGCAGCCCTGGATCCTGCTCCCACTCGCACAAGCTTAAGACCTCAGCCAAGTTACTTCACTCTTCCGAGCCTCCGTTTCCTCTTTTTTTTTTTTTTTTTTTGAGATGGAGTCTCGCTCTGTCACCCAGGCTAGAGTGCAGTGGTGCAATCTCAGCTCACTGCAACCTCCGCCTCCCAGGTTAAAGTGATTCTCCTGCCTCAGCCTCCTGAGTAGCTGGGATTACAGGCGCCCGCCACCACGCCCTGCTAATTTTTGTATTTCTACTAGAGACGGGGTTTCACCATGTTGACCAGGCTGGTCTCAAACTCCCGACCTCAGGTGATCTGCCTGCCTTGGCCTCCCAAAACGCTGGGATTATAGACATGAACCACTGCACCTGGCCTCTTTTTTTGTGTTTTTTTTTTTTAAACAACATATCTTTTATTCTTTGTAGAGATGAGGACTTCCTGTGTCGCCCAGGCTGGTCCTAAACTCCTGGGCTCGAGCAATCCTCCTGCATCAGCCTCCCAGAGTGCTGGGATTACAGGCATGAGCCGCCGCACCCACCCTATCAGCTCTTTAATGAGAGGATAAAGGAACCCAGAAACCTTGAATGCTGGTTCTGAAAGTTTGGCTATACCAAATATTAATACTTTGTTCACCTTGGCATTTGGTTTGGGGACCCTCCCTAAACCTACATATCTGGGTATCTGACTTATCAATGAAAGCCAATTATCATCTTGATTTCCATAAGATAAATTAGCATCTGTGTTCCTCAGGCATTTAATTTTTTCAAGTCCTTCTTTTAATTTTGGGAGTCAGTTTTCTTTTCTTTTCTTTCTTTTTTTTTTTTTTGTTTTTCGGAAATGGAGTCTCGCTTTCTCGCCCACTCTGGAGTGGTGCAGTGGGGTGGTCTCAGCTCACCACAGCCTCCACCTCCTGGGCCCAAGCGATCCTCTCACCTCAGCCTCCTGCGTAGCTGGGACTACAGGCGTGCACCACCATTCCCAGGTAATTTTTGTATTTTTTGTAGAGACAGGGTTTCACTGTTGTTGCCCAGGCTGGTCTCGAACTCCTGCTTCAGTCTGCCAGAATGCTGGATTCTAGGCGTGAGCCACCGTGCCTGGCCCAAAAGTTACTTTTCTTACAGAAGCAAAGCTTTAATGCATTTTACTGAATGCTTATAGCTTTGTAGATACTGAAAAGAGTATGAGCGTCACATACAGACACATCTAACAGCACTGCCTCCAACCAGCCCCTACCCACTGGTCAGGTGAGTAAGAATCAGAATTCTTTTCTGTGAGTGGAACGGAAATTTCATCTCTCCTCCTCAGGCAAGTAGTTAAGAGGCTGGTGGGAGTCATGGCCCCATTTTGTTCAAAATACAAGCTCCACAGGAACAAAAGGCTGAACTGCTCACCTCCCAACTGATGAACCTCGTCTTTGTTCCATGTCAAAGGGGCCTTTGTGTTACTGCAGCAGAAACTCCAGCTATCAAACCATCAGGTACCAAAAGTAAAACTCCTTTCTCTAAAAAGACCTCTCTTTACCTGAGCCTTTCAATGCATCTTTGCCCCCAGATAATCCTGGATGAGATAATCCCCAGAGGAAGACCAGCGCTTGCCTAGTGAAATTATACTATGAGACAAGGTTAAAAGACCTCAGAGACTGGGTTGGCAGGTAAGGGAGTAGGGTACAGCAGCTTCTGGAAAGAAGAATTAATATTTGACAAAATTGTAACCCTCTGACAGCCATGATACATGAATTGCAAAAAGAAAATGCAGAACTTTATACATAACATGATCTCATTTTTATTTTAATTTTAAAAGCATGTCTATATATTTAATTGGTTAGAATGCAGGAACAGAAAGAGGACCCACCAAACTATTAATCATCTCTGTCATACTTTTGCAATTAACTAATTTTTTATAACAACAAGCATTAATATCTGGAATAAAAAATAAAAATTGTTAAAAAAAAAAAAAGAATAAAATTGGGGCCTGCTATATTTACCTTACTTCCTTTGGTGGTAAGGGGTCAAACTCCACTCCTTCGCCAAAGGACAGGGGACAAAGCCTCAGCGCACAGCCGGGAGCCAGGGGGAGAGACGCTGGACTCTTCAAGGACAGAGAAGAATGCAGTTAGAGCTCTTACGGGCCATTTCTTTTATTTTTTATTTTTTTTTATTTTTTATTTTTGTGAGACAGAGTCTCGCTCTGTTACCCAGGCTGGAGTGCAATCGTACAATCTCAGCTCACTGCAACCTCTGCCTCCCAGGTTCAAGCAATTCGCCTGCCTCAGCCTCCTGAGTAGCTGGAATTACAGGCATGTGCCACCACGCTTGGCCAATTTTTTTTTTTTTTTGTATTTTTAGTAGAGACGGGGTTTCGTCATGTTGGCCAGGCTGGTCTCGAACTCCTGACCTCAGATGATCCGCCCACCTCGGCCTCCCAAAGTGCTGGGATTACAGGCGTGAGCCACCGCACCCGGCCCCCACGGGCCATTTCTAAGCATTGCCCACAGAAGGCTGTGGGTCTGAGCCTCCAGCTGATGGGCCCAACTGGGATCTGTGTCCCCCATGCTGGGCACACCAGAGAAACGCTGGACAGGGAGCAGAGAGGTCTGGGTTCAAATCCCAGGTTGACCACGACCGTGCCGTGAGCCCTCAGAGGAGCCACATCACAAGCCCTGTGACCCTATCAACACAGCAAAGTGGATGCCCCCTTTCACTGCTAAGGTTGTGTGAAAAGCTGCAAAGAGGAAACAAACTCAAGCCAGACTGCCACCCCTCGCCCTGCGGTGAGAAACCCTGGTGAGCCGAGGCTCACTTCACCCGAATCCTCAATTCGACAGCGCTCCCTCTGTCACCGTCTCAGCAACACTCTAGAAAAGGTCAAAACAAAAAATATGCTACCAGGGAATTTTTTGTTTTCTAACTAAAGATTCAATCTGGCCAAGCGCAGTGGCCCACACCTGTAATCCCAGCATTTTGGGAGGTGGAGGTGGGAGGATCCCTTGCGCCCAGGAGTTTGAGACCAGCCTGGACAACATGGCAAGACCCCATCTCTACAAAAAATACAACAATTAGCTGGGTGTGGTGGTACGCGCCTGTAGTCCCAGCTACTCAGGAGGCTTAGGTGGGAGGATCGTTTGAGCCTGGGAGGTTGAGGCTGCAATGAGCTGAGATCGCCACTACACTCCAGTCTAGGCAACAAAGCGGGCAGAACAATAGACTCTGTCTTTAAAGAAAAAACTTTCATTGGTAAGATGGACACCAGGCCGGGCACAGTAGCTCACACCTGTAATCCCAGCACTTTGGGAGGCCAAGGCAGGTGGCTCACCCGAGGTTGGGAGTTCGACACCAGCCTGGCCAACGTGGCGAAACCCCGTCTCTACTAAAAATACAAAAATGAGCCAGGCATGGTGCTGTGTGCCTGAAGTCCCAGCTACTAGGAAGGCTGAGGCACGGGAATCGCTTGAACCCAGGAGACAGAGGTTGCAGTGAGCCGAGATCATGCCACTGCACTCCAGCCTGGGCGACAGAGTGGGACTCTGTGTCAAAAAAAAAAAAAAAAAAAAAAGAGAGACGGACACCACATGTTCTTCCTGTCACTTTCCGCTATCCAGAATACTCAGTGAACCAGAGCACAGCAGGACTTCCAGCCCGGCCAATGCATGGGACGTTCTGATTAACCAAGAAGGCTCACTAGAAGTCAGTTACATCCTAGACATGGGGCTAGTTTTCACCCAATTTGCAGGATCAGGGCTTCCGTGTTAAAGAGTGCAAAGATAAACACGGTGCAGAGCCTGAACTCGGAAGCCCTTTATGTTCCCTGGTTCACTCGGGATCTATCATTTTTTTTGCCTAATTTGAGAGAAGGATGTACATTTGCGCCAGGGTGTGGAGTTGGCAGCCCCACCCCCACATCTCCCGAGGACAGAGAAGGAGGCAAACGTTTCTAGAAGGTTGGCTCTGAGACCTTTATCCTGAGACCAGGACAAGGTGTGTCAAGTAGGGGCATGGGGTGGAAATGCGAAAGCCAAAGGGGACCAGAACAGAGACGCAGAGGGCCCTGAGGGTCCAGGTCCTGAACCTGGGTGGAGGCTTAGCAAGGCCGGGCTAGACGAGGGGCGGTGGGTGGGAGCCAAGGTCAGTGAATTGTGTGTGTGTGTGGCAGGGGAGGGTACATAAGGTGTTTGTGTGTGTGTTGGGGGGAGGGTACATAAGGTGTGTGTGTGTTTGTGTTGGGGGGAGGGTACATAAGGTGTGTGTGTGTTGGGGGTACATAAGGTATGTGTGTGTTGGGGGTACATAAGGTGTGTGTGTGTGTGTGTGTGTGTTGGGTATATAAGGTGTGTGCGTGTGTGTGTGTTGGGTATATAAGGTGTGTGAGTGTGTGTGTGTTGGGGGGTATATAAGGGGTGTGTGTGTGTGTGTGTGTGTTGGGGGTATATAAGGTGTGTGTGTGTTTGTGTGTGTTGGGGGTATATAAGGTGTGTGTGTGTGTTTGTGTGTGTTGGGGGTATATAAGGTGTGTGTGTGTGTTGGGGGGTATATAAGGTGTGTGCGTGTGTGTGTGTTGGGTATATAAGGTGTGTGAGTGTGTGTGTGTGTTGGGGGGTATATAAGGTGTGTGTGTGTGTGTGTTGGGGGGTATATAAGGTGTGTGTGTGTGTGTGTGTGTTGGGGGTATATAAGGTGTGTGTGTGTTTGTGTGTGTTGGGGGTATATAAGGTGTGTGTGTTTGTGTGTGTTGGGGGTATATAAGGTGTGTGTGTGTGTGTTGGGGGGTATATGAGGTGTGTGCGTGTGTGTGTGTTGGGTATATAAGGTGTGTGAGTGTGTGTGTGTGTTGGGGGGTATATAAGGTGTGTGTGTGTGTGTGTTGGGGGTATATAAGGTGTGTGTGTGTTTGTGTGTGTTGGGGGTATATAAGGTGTGTGTGTGTTTGTGTGTGTTGGGGTATATAAGGTGTGTGTGTGTGTGTGTTGGGGGTATATAAGGTGTGTGTGTGTTTGTGTGTGTTGGGGGTATATAAGGTGTGTGTGTGTGTTTGTGTGTGTTGGGGGTATATAAGGTGTGTGTGTGTGTTTGTGTGTGTTGGGGGTATATAAGGTGTGTGTGTGTGTGTGTTGGGGGTATATAAGGTGTGTGTGTGTGTTTGTGTGTGTTGGGGGTATATAAGGTGTGTGTGTGTGTGTTGGGGGTATATAAGGTGTGTGTGTGTGTGTTGGGTATATAAGGTGTGTGTGTGTGTGTGTTGGGGGTATATAAGGTGTGTGAGTGTGTGTGTGTGTTGGGGGGTATATAAGGTGTGTGTGTGTGTGTGTTGGGGGTATATAAGGTGTGTGTGTGTTTGTGTGTGTTGGGGGTATATAAGGTGTGTGTTTGTGTGTGTTGGGGTATATAAGGTGTGTGTGTGTGTGTGTTGGGGGTATATAAGGTGTGTGTGTGTTTGTGTGTGTTGGGGGTATATAAGGTGTGTGTGTGTGTTTGTGTGTGTTGGGGGTATATAAGGTGTGTGTGTGTGTTTGTGTGTGTTGGGGGTATATAAGGTGTGTGTGTGTGTGTGTTGGGGGTATATAAGGTGTGTGTGTGTGTTTGTGTGTGTTGGGGGTATATAAGGTGTGTGTGTGTGTGTGTTGGGGGTATATAAGGTGTGTGTGTGTTTGTGTGTGTTGGGGGTATATAAGGTGTGTGTTTGTGTGTGTTGGGGTATATAAGGTGTGTGTGTGTGTGTTGGGGGTATATAAGGTGTGTGTGTGTGTGTGTGTTGGGGGTATATAAGGTGTGTGTGTGTTTGTGTGTGTTGGGGGTATATAAGGTGTGTGTTTGTGTGTGTTGGGGTATATAAGGTGTGTGTGTGTGTGTGTTGGGGTATATAAGGTGTGTGTGTGTTTGTGTGTGTTGGGGGTATATAAGGTGTGTGTGTGTGTTTGTGTGTGTTGGGGTATATAAGGTGTGTGTGTGTGTTTGTGTGTGTTGGGGGTATATAAGGTGTGTGTGTGTGTGTGTTGGGGGTATATAAGGTGTGTGTGTGTGTTTGTGTGTGTTGGGGGTATATAAGGTGTGTGTGTGTGTGTGTTGGGGGTATATAAGGTGTGTGTGTGTTTGTGTGTGTTGGGGGTATATAAGGTGTGTGTTTGTGTGTGTTGGGGGTATATAAGGTGTGTGTGTGTGTGTTGGGGGTATATAAGGTGTGTGTGTGTGTGTGTGTTGGGGGTATATAAGGTGTGTGTGTGTTTGTGTGTGTTGGGGGTATATAAGGTGTGTGTTTGTGTGTGTTGGGGTATATAAGGTGTGTGTGTGTGTGTGTTGGGGGTATATAAGGTGTGTGTGTGTTTGTGTGTGTTGGGGGTATATAAGGTGTGTGTGTGTGTTTGTGTGTGTTGGGGGTATATAAGGTGTGTGTGTGTGTTTGTGTGTGTTGGGGGTATATAAGGTGTGTGTGTGTGTGTGTTGGGGGTATATAAGGTGTGTGTGTGTGTTTGTGTGTGTTGGGGGTATATAAGGTGTGTGTGTGTGTGTGTTGGGGGTATATAAGGTGTGTGTGTGTTTGTGTGTGTTGGGGGTATATAAGGTGTGTGTTTGTGTGTGTTGGGGGTATATAAGGTGTGTGTGTGTGTGTGTTGGGGGTATATAAGGTGTGTGTGTGTGTGTGTTGGGGGTATATAAGGTGTGTGTGTGTTTGTGTGTGTTGGGGGTATATAAGGTGTGTGTTTGTGTGTGTTGGGGGTATATAAGGTGTGTGTTTGTGTGTGTTGGGGGTATATAAGGTGTGTGTGTGTGTGTGTTGGGGGTATATAAGGTGTGTGTGTGTTTGTGTGTGTTGGGGGTATATAAGGTGTGTGTTTGTGTGTGTTGGGGGTATATAAGGTGTGTGTGTGTGTGTGTTGGGGGTATATAAGGTGTGTGTGTGTGTGTGTTGGGGGGTATATAAGGTGTGTGTGTGTGTGTGTGTTGGGGGTATATAAGGTGTGTGTGTGTGTTTGTGTGTGTTGGGGGTATATAAGGTGTGTGTGTGTGTGTTGGGGGGTATATAAGGTGTGTGTGTGTGTGTGTTGGGGTATATAAGGGGTGTGTGTGTGTGTGTGTGTTGGGGGGTATATAAGGTGTGTGTGTGTGTGTGTGTTGGGGGTATATAAGGTGTGTGTGTGTGTTTGTGTGTGTTGGGGGTATATAAGGTGTGTGTGTGTGTGTTGGGGGGTATATAAGGTGTGTGTGTGTGTTTGTGTGTGTTGGGGGTATATAAGGTGTGTGTGTGTGTGTGTGTGTTGGGGGTATATAAGGTGTGTGTGTGTGTTTGTGTGTGTTGGGGGTATATAAGGTGTGTGTGTGTGTGTTGGGGGGTACATAAGGTGTGTGTGTGTTGGGGGGGTACCTAAGGTGTGGGGGGGAGGGCACATAAGGTGTGGGCATTGGCTTCTGCAAACAGCCTCCAAATAGTGACAGTAGGCCCTGCTCTGCCCCCACTCTCTGGCTGCCAGACCCTGCCCAACAGAAGGGGGCACCTCATGGGAAGGTGGGTGATCTCTGAACCCCCTACCGCCTTCCTCCAGGCATCGGCAGGAGCACTCGGTTCTGTCGCCTTCTCTGCTTTTCCATCCCTGCCCACCCGACAGACCCTCCCTGAGCACGACCCTCGCTCCAGGCTGGGGCTGGGGTGATGTGAGGCAGCGGAGGTCACAACAGACACATGAACGAAGGGCCACAGGAATGGGGATGTCGTCGTGGACTCTGGCCCCTGGGAAGCATCAAGGAAGGCCTCCCAGAGGAGGTGACATGAGCTGGGCATTGAGGGGCCAGCAGGACGCCTCCTGGGAGAGGTAAGAGGCCCTGGGCACGCGGGTGGAGGGCGGCAGCAGAAGCGCTGGTGTGGTGCATGTGTCCGGCCTGTGGCCAGGGCAGGTGGACGACGAGGCCAGATGGGGCCGGACGGGAGGGCGCTGAAGGCCAAGTTGAAGCCAGCCCCGCCTTGGGATGGCGATGAGGAAACTGCCCTGATGCCCACCGAGAGACAGGGTGGGAGGGGCGAGACCACCAGCACCGCCGGGGCTCCCGTGGGGGTCCCCAGGAACCTCTCGTGGGGATCCCTAGGGACGGCAGCGGCCGCCTTCACCGGGGGGAGGAAGTCCCCATGCCGGGGGGCAGGGCCGGGCTGCGGCCCCGCTCCAGCTTTTCTGAGACCGCGGGCAGGATGTGGCTTCCCCAGAGTTCTAAGTAAAGGCAGCAAACACCAACATCCGAGCGAGTCCCAGGGCAAAAGATTCGGTGGAGTCTTTTCTTTAAATGAACATTTTAAAGTAAAGCAAGAGGATTACTCCGTGAAAGTTTCCACCCACCCAAAGGCCTCCCACCCGTCATGTGAGGGACACCGGGTTCCCGGTGTTCAGGCCAAGAGGGGGCCCCGGGAGGCCGCAGGCTGGGGAGGGACCTTTCTCCCAAGGTCGAGGAAGGCTCTGGGCCCTCTGCCCCGGGATGGGGGGCCCGGCTGGGAAGA
Source organism: Homo sapiens (assembly GCF_000001405.40). Classification (NCBI taxonomy): domain Eukaryota; kingdom Metazoa; phylum Chordata; class Mammalia; order Primates; family Hominidae; genus Homo; species Homo sapiens. The sequence continues at coordinate 49,687 of NW_017363817.1, forward strand.
GGCGCGCGGCCCCGTGGGAGCCCAAAGCCGCGGGGTGTCGGGCCGGGGTTCCCTCCAGGCGCCCCCCGCGCCCGGCAAAGGCAGGAATGTGGCCGACCCGCAGCCCGGCAGCCCCGGGACCGCCACCCCGAAGGGAGGAGACGGCGGCTCGCCGCTCCCGGGGCTCCCGCGCCTCCCAGGCGGTGACAATTTTCCAGCCACGCGCTCCAGCTGGCCAGGCTCGCGGCGCTCCCGCCCCGGGCTCCCGGCGATGGCCGCCCCGTCCCGACACAGCGCGCCCGGCGGGCAGGAGCCGCTGGGGGTCCCGGAGCGGAAACCGCTGCGCTGGGAGGGAAGGAGCCCGCGCGGGGCCACTCACCGGAGCCGCGGGGGTCGCCGCCGCCGCGTCGGGCTCCAGCGTCCCCGGTGCCGCCGCGCGCTCTCCGCCGCCTCCGCCCGCCGCGAGCCCCCAGTGGCTGGGGCTGGGGCTGGGGGGCAGCCCCGAGTCCGGGCTGTCCAGGACGCCGTCGCCCTTCTTCTTCGCGTCCACGAGCTCGGGCACATCCTGTAGGCTCAGCCGGCCCACCATGGCGGCGCGCGAGGGGGGCCCGAGGCACCCGCGCCGGGGTCGCGGGACAGCGAGGGGCGCAGACGCGGGCCGGGGCCGCTGCCCGCCCGGCCGCCCTACCTCCCTCCCTGCCCCGCCGCCCGCGCGCCGCCCGGGTCTCGCCGCTGCCCGCCCCGGCCTCGGCCCCGCCCCTTCCCCGCCCCTTCCCCGCCCCAGGCCCGGCCTCGGCCCCGCCCCGAGCCTTCCCCGCCCCGGCCTCGGCCCCGCCCCCTCCCCGCCCCTTCCCCGCCCCAGGCCCGGCCTCGGCCCCGCCCCGCCCCTTCCCCGCCCTCCGGCCCCGCCCCCGCCCCGCCCCCCGAGGCCGATCCCCGCGCGCTGGCGGCACCGAGCGCCAAAGGCCCCCCAGCCCGGGGTCTGGCCCCCAGCGCGCTACAGGTGGACGCGGGGACCCGCTCGCGCCGGGGCCCTGGGGGCGCGTTGACCCCTCGCCCTGTCCCAGCGGGACCCGGGAGGCGCTAACAGCTTCCGAGCTCGCGGTCGGGGGACCCATCCCGCAGAGGCCTGGGGAGCCGCGCGAAGCCGGCGAGCAAACAGCTGGAAATTATTACCAGTTAATGCGCTCCGTGTGGCCGCAGCCGCCTGTTGGCCCCGGAAGGCGGGCCCTGGCGCTCCTGCCCGTCCCGGAGGAGAGGCCTGTCCTCGGGGGCTCCGCAGGCGCGGGTCACCCCTGGTGCTCAGCTGGACAGGCTGTGTGGCCACGCAGGACACGCGGGGCAGAGACCTTCTGCGGCTGGCGCAGGCTCGTGGACACGCTCAGCAGGGTGACCGCGGGCTGCGTCTAGGGCCACCGGCCGCCCGGTGGGGGCCACGGCTTCTCCCTCACCGGGGCTAACCGCTCTGCCCACCCCACCCCCAGGAGAATCCCTTCTGAAAAACAGACAGCACTTCTCCCCACCCCTTCGGTTTGACAGCGAAGCCTTATCCTGAGTGGGAACTCGTCTCCGTAGCTGCGGGGTGTAGGACTGGGCTGTTTCTCACGGGTCTCCGAGGTCAGCAGAAAGTGCAGAGTCCCCACGCCACCTGCAGCCCTCCCCGGGGGTTCTGATGGGTATTCAGCCGAGGGCCTGGAGCTGAAGCCTCACCCAGACCTACAGGACAGCTCAGGAGTCACACCCTGGACGTCCCTGGCTGAGACAGCGGCAGCCCAGTGCACATCCTTGTAAAGATAAAGGATATTTGTCCTGCTTGGGCCAGACCTGTTAAACTCAGAAACTCAGAGCAGGTAGATCTTAGAGACCCGCTGGCCAAGTTCCGTCCTCTTACCTCCCTTAGCTGTCACTTTCATGTAAGGAAACAGAGAGGGATTTCACTTGCCCCAAGTCACACAGCTGATCCGAGACAGCTTGCTGAGAACAGAAAGTCGGCATCATCCCTCCACAGAAGGTAAAACCTGGCACGCGCCTGTGTGCTGGCAGGTGGTTCATTCATTCAGGGTCTGCGGGAAGAGATTGCAAAATCCACAGTGCACGGTCCTGGCCAAATGGTATTGCAAGTGTTACTGGGAAGGGGTCCCGATCCAGGCCCTCAGAGAGGATTCTTGGATCTTGGGCAAGAAAGAATTCAGGACGAGTCCATACAGTGAAAGCAAGTTTATTAGGAAAGTAAAGGAAAAAAAGAATGCCTACTCCTTACAGCAGTTCCGAGGGCTGCTGGTTGCCCATTTTTATGGTTATTTCTTGAGGATATGCTAAACAAGGGGTGGGCTATTCATGCCTCCCCGTTTTTAGACCATATAGGGTAACTTCCCGACGTTGCCGTAGCATTTGTAAACTCTCAGGGCGCTGGTGGGAGTGTAGCAGTGAGGACCACCAGAGGTCACTCTCATGGCCATCTTGGTTTTGGTGGGTTTCGGCCGGTTTCTTTACCGCGGCCTGTTTTATCAGCAAGGTCTTTATGACCTGTATCTTGTGCCGACCTCCTATCTCATCCTGTGACTTAGAATGCCTTCACCATCTGGGAATGCAGCCCTGTAGGTCTCAGCCTCATTTTACCCAGCTCCTATTCAAGATGGAGTCACTCCGCTTCACAGGCCTCTGATGCAGGGACACAGCTGTACCTCCTACCCCTTTGGATCCCACCATCTGCACAGCCCAGGTGGCATCGGAGGAGGAGTCTCAGTGCTTTCTGGGGTTGTAGAAAGACGGTTTGTTGGCAGTGGGAGGCCTGGACTCACTGGAGGGAATTTGCCAGCCAAGCATGAAAGCCTGGTTAGATTGGGAAAGGTGTCTGGGAAGATGGTGGTCCTGAGGTTGTCCTCTGGGTTCAGGAAGCCAGATCTACTTAAAGGACTTGCCAAGGTGCCACCCTGGCACTGAGGAGAGGTTCCTGTCACCCAGTGTGGCCTCCTTCTTTTGTTTTTGTTTTTGTGTTTTTTTGAGACTGAGTCTCCCTCTGTCGCCCAGGCTGGAGTGCAGTGGCGTGATCTTGGCTCACTGCAAGCTCCACCTCCCGGGTTCACGTCATTCTCCCGCCTCAGCCTCCCAAGTAGCTGGGCGCCCGCCACCACGCCCGGCTAATTTTTTGTATTTTTAGTGGAGACAGGGTTTCACTGTGTTAGCCAGGATGGTTTCGATCTCCTGACATCGTGATCCGCCCACCTCAGCCGCCCAAAGTGGTGGGATTACAGACGTGAGCCACCAGCTTTTTTTTTTTTTTAGACAGAGTCTCACTCTGTCACCCAGGCTGGAGTGCAGTGGTGCAATCTTGGCTGACTGCAACCTCCGCCTCCTTCAATCTGGGTTGAACTCCTGGGTTCAAGTGATTCTTCTGCCTCAGCCTCCCCAGTAGCTGGGACTACAGGGTGTACCACCCCACCTGGCTATTTTGTATTTCTTGTAGAGATGAGGTTTTGCCATGTTGGCCAAGCTGGTCTTGAACTCCTGACCTCAAGCAATCCACCCCCGTCCTTGGCCTCCCAAAGTGCTGAGATGACAGGAGTGAGCCACTGCACCCGGTCCTCCTCCTTTACAGATTTACAGATATGCTCAGAACTGACACACACAAGAAATCAGAGGGGCTTGGAGAGAATCCAGCCCCGGCACTGACACTGACGGAGAAGCTGAGGTAGAGACCCCGGTCCCATATGCAGATTCCCCCAAACCGTTCAGCCACCACCCCACCAATAAGCTGCACCAAACACTGACACCCCCCATGGCTCCCAGAGTTCTGTTCAGCCAATCAATTATGCTGAGGAGGGGGCCGGGTGTGGTGGCTCACACCTGTCATCCCAGCACTTTGGGAGGCCGAGGCAGGTGGATCACCTGAGGTCCGGAGTTCGAGACCAGCCTGGCCAACATGGTGAAACCCCGTCTCTACTAAAAATACAAAAATTTGCCGGGCGTGGTGGCGGGCACTTGTAATCCCAGCTACTCAGGAGGCTGAGGCAGGAGAGTTGCTTGAACCCAGGAGGTGGATGTTGCAGTGAGCCGAGATCGCGCCCTTGTCTTTAAAGAGCTCAAAGAGAAGCCTAAGCCGACTGGAAGAGACATGAGGTGAACCCAGGGAGCACCCGTGGCCTGGCCGAGGCTTCTCCTTGAACTCCTGGTATTCCAACCTGCCCAGGAGTCCTTCCGGGTGGGAGAGAAGGCGATTTTCTTTCTCCTTACATAAGAGCCATGCGGCTCAGCCCCTGGAAGTCAGGAGTGTTTCCATAGTCCTGAGCAGTGAGTCCACACAGCTAATCTGCTTTGGATTTTCGGAAGGGCCTCGCTACTGGGCCCATCATCATCCTGTGTCTTATCTTGATGTTTTCCAAAGGACATTGCTTAAAGAAACTCAAAGCAAACCCTGGGAAAGGCAGCCCATTCTACCTTTTCCAGCTCTGAAGACTGGCCTGCTTTTGAATAATAGCTGGGGTGCACCTAGAAATCAGGGGCGAATCACACAAAATGAGCGGGACCCAGGAGACCAGGGGCTTGCACAAGACAGGTCTCTTCTCAAAGCCGTCCTTCCAGAGCAGGACCGTCAGTCCCTCGCCTGGGTCATGGAGATGCGGTGTCCTCAGAGGACTCGGCTTCTGGCCCGAGGCCTCTCCCGGCAGGGTCTGAGAAACGAAAGCTGCCTCACCATGAATGCCAGTCCTGCGTTTTTGTTTTTTCTGCACTAAATTAAGCCGCTGCCCAAGTGGGAGTTAAGTCAGACAGGAAGAGGGCAGGACCCCCACACCGCTGCTGCGTACTGTTTCGGAACAGCTTGTCTTCCGTAAGCCCTGCCAGACAGTGGATTAAACACACCCCAGGCCCCGCATGCTGGCTGGTGCCCCGTGCCCGACACCGGCCCTCTCCCAGCCCCCAGGTCTTGGGCTGTTCTGTGGCTCATGATGTGTGGATTTGCCTGCTGTTGAACCAGGTCTTCTCTTTCCTTCATATGCACCTGTCAACCAAAATGCTTTTTGAAAAACAGAACTTTACAGCTGGGCATGGTGGCTCACACCTGTCATCTCAGCACTTCAGGAAGCCGAGGGGTGGGGATTGCTTGATCCCAGGAGTTTGAGACCAGCCTGGGCAACATAGTGAGTCCTCATCTCTACACTTTTTTTGTTGTTGTTTTGTTTTGTTTTTTAATAGAGACAGGGTCTCCCTCTGTCACACAGGCTGGAGTGCAGTGGCACGATCATAGCTCATTGCAGCCTTGAACTCCTGGGCTCTAGCAACCCTCCCACTTCTGCCTCCTGAGTTGCTGGGACCACTGGAGTGCACCCCCACATCCAGCCGTAAAGCTCTACTTTTATAATTTATGTTTATATTTTTATTGCTCTGTTCTCATAATTTATCATTTTTTTAACATTTATTTCTATTTTTGTAGAGACAGGGTCTTACCATCTTGCCCAGGCTGCTCTTGAACTCCTGGGCTCAAGCCATCCTCCCTCCTCGGCCTCCCAAAGTGCCGGGATTACAGGTGTGAGCCACCACACCCAGCCAACTACAAAATTTTTGTTAAAATTAGCCTGGCATGGTGGCCGCCTGTACCTGTAGTCTGAGATTCTCAGGAGGGTGAGCTCAGATTCTCATGAGGGTGAGGTGGGTGGCAGGTACCTGTAGTCTCAGATACTCAGGAGGGTGAGGTGGGAGAATCACTTGAGCCCACGTCAAGGCTGCAATGAGCTATGATCACGCCATCGCACTACTGGGTGGTAGAACGAGACCCTGTCCTAAAAATGTTTTTAACAAAAAGTTATTTTGTTCCTTAGTTTAGATTAAGGTGATAGTTTTCAAAGAACATTGAAAGGGACCTGTCATATTCAGTAAAGAAGCGAATTGAATTAAAAACACAAACCTGACAGAACACAGCCCATATGAGTGTACCCACACATGTTGGTGAGCTCGATTCATAACCCTGAGCCCCCGAGACTCACAAAGATGGCCTGAAACAGATACAGGCAAAGGGCTACCAAAGTTCTCGCTTTCAGGGCTATCAGGTCTGAAGGAACAGGCTGGCTTTCTTAGTTTTGTTTTGTTTTTTGTTTGTTTGGGTTTTTTTGTTTTTTGTTTTGAGACAGTGTTTTGCTCTCGTTGCCCAGGCTGGAGTGCAGTGGCACGATCTAAGCTCACTGCAACCTCCACCTCCTGGGTTCAAGTGATTCTCCTGCCTCAGCCTCCCGAGTAGCTGGGATTACAGAAGCCTACCAGCACACCCAGCTAATTTTTGTATTTTTAGTACAGACAGGGTTTCACCATGTTGAAATCAGCCAAGCTGATCTCAAACTCCTGACCTCAGGTGATCTACCTGCCTTGGCCTCCTGAAGTGCTGGGATTATAGGTGTGAGCCACTGTGCCCCGTTGGCTTTTTTTCTGATCTCTCAGTTGGGAGACCACCCGTTTGGCTGGAGTCGTGGGGTCTGGCCAGGTCCAAATGATGACACAAACCCAGACAGGAAGTGCAGCTGGCATCCATCAGTCCAGTGTGCCCAGTGTGGGGAGTCCCCTGATGCCAGTCAAACACGGCTCCACTCTGGAGGCCTCTTTGTAAGCTAAGAGCTGATTCTCCCAAATGCTCCCTAGTTACACAGAAAAGGACCTTCCTTGTCTTCTGCAAAATAAATCCAGGTGGGATTTGGCAAAGAGCTGGGGCACATGGCCTCCTCGGAGCTGCATCAATACACTTGCACTTCGGGCTCCGTTCTGCGTATTCGTGCTGGACGAGGACTTGCAGACCAGAAAAGTAGCCCTTGGGTGAGCAGTTGAAGTTAAGACCCTCGGCTCCTGGGCTGACTTGCTAGAAGGGCGTGCTGTCATTATCCCTGGGGATCAAACGTCTGGTCTGTGTGGCCACACTCCAAAGGCAGGCTCAAAGGTCTCCATGGTACTCCAGGGCCCCTTGAGGATTCGGGTCTGTGGGGGCTGCCCGGGAAGGGACGGAGAGCGAGGGCCCTTGGAGGCAGCCTGTTTGCTCCACACAATGACAGGTGACTTAGCTGTGTCCTTCCCGGGAGCCACAGTGGCTTCACGTACCCCTCTCCTATCCCCAGTTCAGAGCAGAATACATGCAGGCTGGAGGCAGCTGTGGTTTGCAGCCTGATACTTGCTGAAGACATTTACATGCTTTGAAGAAATGTGTTTCAGTTTTGGGTCTTTACTGAGAATGAGCCAGAGGGGGAAGAACTTGTGGTGAGGGAGGGTCTTATCTCTTCCCAGGCCACATCAGCCTGGGGCCAACTGGGGCAGTGTTGTTGCCCCTCTCCCCGCTCCCTTGTAGGACTTCCACCCCCACCTCCAACCACTGACAAGTACGTCTGGGAATCCCCGAAGATGTCTTTCATAAGCTCATAAATAAACCTGGTCACACTTATGGAATGCCTGCTCTTAATTTTCTTTTCTTTTTCTAGCCCTCACTGTCCTGGCCTCTGGTTCTGCTAAGGTGTGTGACGGTGGACCACCATGGTCCTCCGATTGGGTGCCCCTGCTACAAGTACCATCAGCCCCTGCAGCCTCTTGAGAGAGGTGACAGTGGTGGCACATGGGTACGGTCCCCTTGCCCTTTGCCCCTTGCCCCTTGCCAGGCACCGCCCAAAGCCCTGGGCACTGCTGCCGGTGCTGGTGGTGGCAGAGGCCCCTGTGGCTCTCGGGCATTAGCCTGTAGGTCTTCTGCTGCAAAGCGCCTCTCACCCCTCCTGGTTGCGTGGGTGGGGTGGTCCTGAAGCCCCGTGGCTTCCTTTATTTCTGCCTTCTCTGTAGAATTCAAACATGAACCCTGCAGGGCTAGACCAAGACACAAATATCAATTTCTAAAAACACCCCTTTGAGGGTTGGGCACGGCGGCTCACGCCTGTAATCCCAGCGCTTTGGGAGGCCGAGGCGGGTGGATCACCTGAGGTCAGGAGTTCGAGACCATCCTGGCCAACAGGGTGAAACCCCATCTGTACAAAAAATACAAAAAATAGCCGGGTGTGGTGGCGCATGCCTGTAGTCCCAGCTACTCAGGAGGCTGAGGCGGGAGGATTGCTTGAGCTCAGGAGAGATCAGTCTGGGCAACACGGTGAAACACCATCTCTACAAAAAATACAAAAACTAGCCTGGTGTGGTGCTGGGCGCCTGTAGTCCCAGCTGCTTGGGAGGCTGAGGTGGGAGGATCGCTGGAACCTGGGAGGCAGAGGCTGCAGTGAGCCAAGATCGCACCACTGCACTCCAGCCTAGGTGACACAGTGAGAGCCTGTTGAAAGAAAGAGAGAGAGAAAGAAAGAGAGAGAAAGGGAGGGAGGGAGGGATGGAGGGAAAAGGAGAGGAGAGGAGAGAAAGGCAAGGCAGAGGAGGGAGGGGAGCTTGGCCAAGGTGGTGGCACCTGGGAGGCTTATCTGGCATCCTGGCAGCAAGGCTGGGAGGCTGGTGGTGAGCACCTGGCCCATGCTGATCTTCCCACCTCCCTGGCCTCTACTGACGTGTAACTTGTTCTGCTCGGCCATTGAGTGCCACTCTCTGCTTTTTTTCTTTGAGACAGAGTCTCTGTGGTCCAGGCTGGAGTGCAGGAGTGCAATCTCAGCTCACTGCAACCTCCGCCTCCCAGGTCCAAGGGATTCTACTACCTCAGCCTCCAGAGTCACTGGGACTACAGGCACCTGCCACCACGCCCAGCTAATTTTTGTATTTTTAGTAGAGACATGGTTTCACCATGTCGGCCAGGCTGGTCTCACACTCCTGACCTCAAGTGATCCACTCGCTTCAGCCTCCCAAAGTTCTGGGATTACAGGCGTGAGCCACCGCGCCTGGCCATTCTCAGCAATTTAATTTAATTTAATTTTGAGACAGAGTCTTTCTCTGTCACCCAGGCTGGAGTGCAGTGGCATGATCTCAGCTCACTGTAACCTCTGCCTCCCAGGTTCAAGCCATTCTCCTGCCTCAGCCTCCCAAGTAGCTGGGACTACAGGCATGCACCACTACACCAGCTGATTTTTGTATTTTTAGTAGAGACAGGCTTTCGCCATGTTGGCTGGGCTGGTCTTGAACTCCTGACCTCGGGTGATCCGCCTGCCTCGGCCTCCCACAGTGCTGGGATGACAGGCAGGAGCCAGCACACCCAGCCCTACTGTCTGCTTTGGTGTCCACGTGCCGCCTGCTTTCCATTCTGCTTGTTCCAAATCCAGGTCTCAGCCAATGTGCTGGTCCTTTCACTACTTCTGGGAGCTTGGGAGCTCTTAGCAGCCATTACCTGCCCATGATTGGGTAGGAGGGACTCTGCGGTACACAGAGGCCTCCCCCTTAGGCCTTTCTAACTGGACAGCACCCTCAGGTCCTCACTCGCTGTCTCCTGGTGCCTTGTTGAACACAGAACTTTTCTCTGGGGGCTTCAGTCTCACAGGGGCATTGCTGGAAGCCAGACAGTGGCTTCTAGATTAGCATCCTCCTCAAGCTGATGGGGGTGCTTCTCCTACTGGGGCTCAGCCCAGAGTGCTGGGGCTCCGGGTTTCTTCTCAGGGACCTACAAGCCTTTAAGCCTCTCTGGCTTTTCTTTTCTCATCTGCTGGGCAAAATCCACTTTCTTTCTTTTTAGGTGGAAAAAAAATGTTTATGTCCAGATGCCCGGTCCCTGTGATGATAGTGTGGATTGGGTGCAAAAATGCTTCAGCATTTTGGTTCTTAACATTTAAAGGCAGATTTTTAGAATAAGAAAACAAACCAAAACAGCATTCCAACATTCTTACATTGATAGCACGGATTCCAAGACTTTTGTCTCTACTGCAGAATTACAAAAGTCTGCACAAGAATTCAAGCAATTATCTCGATACCATCTGCACCTGAGCGCAGTGCATAGACGAGGCCCCACCTGCTGCTGCGGAAAGGGGCAAAGAATAGAAAAACAACCACTTAACAGCAAAATGTGACTTCGCTACCTATCCAAAGGATGATCATTGATGTCCTGAGAGAACCAAGAAATCACGCACTGGAGGACCCCTGACCGGGAGGAAAGGCAGGGGTCTTTACTCAGTAGATCTTGAATAAGAACACTCTCTTGCAAGACACAGTTGGGTCACAGCTGGCCTTGTGCAATGAAAACCAAAGGGGAACTTCTGCTTACTGGGTTTCTACAGATAGAGATGAAACTACATCCTCTCTCTCAAGAAACAGGAAAAGCCACGCAGGATGAGTGAGGATGTGCGGTGGGTACCCACACACCCACCATGGGGATGTGCAGCAAAACCAACTGCAGCAGGTGTTTTGGCAAGAGCTAGCGGGCTTTTTTTGTTTGTTTGTTTTTTGAGACAGAGTCTCGCACTGTTGCCCAGGCTGGAGTGCAGTGGCACGATCTTGGCTCACTGCAAGCTCCGCCTCCCAGGTTCCAGCGATTCTCCTGCCTCAGCCTCCCGAGTAGCTGGGGTTACAGGCGCCGGCCACCACGCCCAGCTAATTTTTTGTATTTTTAGCAGAGACAGGGTTTCACTGTGTTAGCCAGGATGGTCTTGATCTCCTGACCTTGTGATCCGCCCGTCTCGGCCTCCCAAAGTGCTGGGATTAAAGGCATGAGCCACCACGCCCGGCCAGCTAGCGACATTTTAAATGTACACCTCCTTTAATCTGATTTTTCTCCTTTTTGAAACAGGGTCTCCCTGTCACCCAGGCTGGAGTGCAGCAGTGCAATCACAGCTCACTGCAGCCTTGACATCCCAGGGTTCAAGCGATCCTCCCGTCTCAGCCTCCCGAGTAGCTGGGACTACAGGAGCGCACCACCACACCCGGATAATTTTTTGTAGAGATGGGGTTTCACCGTGTTGCCCAGGTCACTCTCAAACTCCTGGGCTCAAGTGATCTGCCTGACTTGGTCTTCCAAAGTCCTGGGATTATAGGTGTGAGCCACCATGCCCAGCCTTAATCATTTTAAGTGGAAATGTAACCATTTTAGGATAATGTCCTACAAAAATGTGAGTACAAGCAAGCAAAGACATTTGCAGAAAGATTTTCACAGATGATGTGAGTCTAATGCCAAAAAACTAAACACAGCCTTTTGGCTATATTGCTAGAAGACTGGCTGTCTCAGTGTATTCACGCTGCTACAATAAAATGCCACGGACTAATTGATAAATAGTAGATCGTTGTTCCTTACAGCTCTGGAGGCCAGGACGTCGAAGATCAGGTGCTGACGGACTCCGTGCCCAGTGAGGGCTGCTCTTTGCTTCCAAGATGGCGCCATGTTGCTTGTTACATGGCAGAAGGCAGAAAGTCACAGGGTGTCACACAGCTCCCCTGCACCTCTTTATAAGGTCATAATCCCATTCTTGAGGCCCCTTCTTCATGATTTAACCACCTCCTAAGGGCCCCACATCTTAATACTATCACATCGGGGATTCACTTTCAACATAAGAATTTTGGAGGGACATATACATTCAAACCATAGCACTGATGACATAAATGATGGGACCGGGTGAAGTGGCTCACGCCTGTAATCCCAGCACTTTGGGAGGCCAAGGAGGGCAGATCACCTGAGGTCAGGAGTTTGAGACCAGCCTGGCCAGCATGGCGAAACCCTGTCTCTACTAAAAAATACAAAAATTAGCCAGGCGTGGTGGCGGGCGCCTGTAATCCCGGCTACTCAAGAGGCTGAGGCAGGAGAATCGCTTGAACCTGGCAGAAGGAGGTTGCAGTGAGCCGAGATCGCACCATTGCACTCCAGCAGCCTGAGGACAGGGCGAGGCTCCGTCTCAAAAAAAAGAAAAAAAATGATGGCATAGCTGAGCTATAAAGCACCAAGCAGCCATTAAAAATAATGAGTAGATCTATACATGGCAAGGGAAAAGTCCAAGATGTACAGTCAGCCTTCTGCATCTGCCAGTTCTGCAGCTACAGATTCAACCAACTCTGGAATGAAAATACAGAATTCTCAGGATGCTGAGAAGTCAAGACCCAAATTTTTGTGCCCACAGGTTCCACAGGGCTGACTCGGGGCCTGGGACCTGAGCATCCAGGATTTTGTTATCTGGCAGGTGGGGGGGCCTGCTTCATGTTAATTTCTTTTTTTTTTTTTTCCTTTGACAAAGTATCTCCTTTTTCCCACATACAGATACAGAGAAATCTTCACAGGAGAGTAGGACTTCTGATATATTTCCATGTAGTGGTTTTTTTTTTGTTGTTGTTTTTTGAGACAGTCTCACTCTGGCTGGAGTGAACTGGCATGATCTCAGCTCACTGAAAGCTCCACCTCCCGGGTTCAAGTGATTCTCCTGCCTCAGCCCCCCGAGTAGCTGGGATTACAGGCATGTGCCACCAAAACTGGCTAATTTTTTTTTTTTTCCCCTGAGATGGCGTCTCGCCTATTGCCCAGGCTGGAGTGCAATGGCGCGATCTTGGCTCATTGCAACCTCCGCCTCCCAGACTCAAATGATTCTCCTGCCTCAGCCTCCCAAGCAGCTGGGATTACAGGTGTGCGCCATGATGCCTGGCTAATTTTTTGTTATCTTTAGTAGGGATGGGCTTTCACCATGTTGGCCAGGCTGGTCTTGTACTCCTGACCTCGTGATCCGCCCGCCTCGGCCTCCCAAAGTGCTGGGATGACAGGCGTGAGCCACCGCGCCCGGCCCCACTGTACTTTAAAAATGAGCATTGCTACTGCAATATTATAGGGTAATAGCAGCACAGGCCACACTGAGCCATCAGTGTCGTCGGTTTTGAGAAGAGACCCGCTGGAGCCAGGCTCTTTAGCTCCTTCTGAGAAACCCTACGGAAAGAGGCGTGGAGCAGGCCCAGCCGGGAGCCCAGGGAGAGTGGACTCCGCACACCGAGACCCGCCTGAGCAGCAGAGAATGGCTTCCGGCTTCCGCACACCGAGACCCGCCGGTGCAGGGGTGAATGGCTTCCGGCTTCCGCACACCGAGACCCGCCGGTGCAGGGGTGAATGGCTTCCGGCTTCCGCACACCGAGACCCACCTGAGCAGCAGAGAATGGCTTCCGGCTTCCGCACACCGAGACCCGCCTGAGCAGCAGAGAATGGCTTCCGGCTTCCGCACACCGAGACCCGCCGGTGCGGGCTTCCTGGGACTTCCATTCTTGATTTGTTGGGGCAAGATTTTCTTTTGATTTCTGTGACTGTTCTCTGTGTAATCATTAAGAAAAAAATGTTATGATAAACTAACCATATTGGCTGACAGCCAGAGTGGTTAGGGGTGAGTAAGGTGTTGAGATTGAGGCCCTAGGAAAGGAAGGTGGAGCCATTTAGAAATGGGGAATTCAGCCGGGTGCGGTGGCTCATGCCTGTAATCCCCACACATTGGGAGGCCGAGGCGGGAGGCTCACTTGAGCCCAAGAGTTTGAGACAAGACTGGGCAATAGAATAAGACCCTGTCTCAAAAAAAAAAAAAAAAAAAAAAAAAAGAGAGAGAGACAAGAAAAGAAAAAAAGAAAAATGGGGGATTCAGGAAGGAAGCTGAGCTTACCTCGAGATGGTGCATATAAGCTAATGATGGGAGTTGGCTAGAAGACAGGAACTGAAAATTGGGGGGAGCTCAGGTGTAGCTGGTGTTTGCACCTGTGATGGCAGGTAAGTCCTCAGGAGCCTGGCATGAAAACAGGGGGCCTAAGACCTCGAGGCCTGGCCGCTGTCAAGGCTCAGAAGGAGAGGAGAGCTGGGGAAGGAGACTAAGAAGTCCCAGAGCCAGTAAAGCAGTTAAGGGAGAATTCCGGAGAGAGGAGGACTCACAGAGTTAAGGGAGAATTCCGGGGAGAGGGGGACTCACACAGTTAAAGGAGTATTCCGGGGAGGAGGACTCAGAGTTAAGGGAGGATTCCGGGGAGAGGGGGACTCACACAGTTAAAGGAGTATTCCAGGGAGGAGGACTCAGAGTTAAGGGAGAATTCCGGGGAGAGGGGGACTCACACAGTTAAAGGAGTATTCCGGGGAGGAGGACTCAGAGTTAAGGGAGGATTCCAGGGAGAGGGGGACTCACACAGTTAAAGGAGGATTCCAGGGAGAGGGGACTCACACACAGATGCCCCTCCACAGATGATGGGGTTACGTCCCAATAAACCCACTGTAAGTTACATTGTTAAGTCAAAAATGCATTTAATACACCTAACCTCCCCAATGTCATAGCTTAGCCTAGCCTACCTTAAACGTGCTCAGAACAGTTACATTATCCTGCAGTTGGGCAGGACAGATGTGAGCCGGGCTAGAAGGGCATCGGTGACCTTCGAGAGAAGGGTCAGGACAGATGTGAGCCAGACGAAGAACCTCAGTGACCTTCGAGAGAAGGAAATGTCAGGACAGATGTGAGCTGGGCTAGAAGGGCATCGGTAACCTTTGAGAGAAGGAAGGGTCAGGACACATGTGAGCCAGATTAGAATAACATCGGTGACCTTCGAGAGAAGGAAGGGTCAGGACAGATGTGAGCCAGATTAGAATAACATCGGTGACCTTCGAGAGAAGGGTCAAGACAGATGTGAGTCAGGCTAGAAGGGCATCGGTGACCTTCCAGAGAAGGGTCAAGACAGATGTGAGTCAGGCTAGAAGGGCATCGGTGACCTTCCAGAGAAGGGTCAAGACAGATGTGAGTCAGGCTAGAAGGGCATCGGTGACCTTCCAGAGAAGGGTCAAGACAGATGTGAGTCAGGCTAGAAGGGCATCGGTGACCTTCCAGAGAAGGGTCAAGACAGATGTGAGTCAGGCTAGAAGGGCATCGGTGACCTTTGAGAGCAGGGTCAGGACAGTGGTTGAGATGGAAGCTGACTTTCTAGAAGGGCATCGGTGACCTTGGAGAGCAGGGTCAGGACAGTGGTTGAGATGGAAGCTGACTTTGTAGAAGAGCATTGGTGACCTTCGAGAGCAGGGTCAGGACAGCGGTTGAGATGGAAGCTGACTTTCTAGAAGAGCACCGGTGACCCTCGAGAGCAGGGTCAGGACAGTGGTTGAGATGGAAGCTGACTTTCTAGAAGAGCACCGGTGACCTTCGAGATCAGGGTCAGGACAGCGGTTGAGATGGAAGCTGACTTTGTAGAAGAGCATTGATGACCTTCGAGATCAGGGTCAGGGCAGTGGTTGAGATGGAAGCTGACTTTCTAGAAGAGCACCGGTGACCCTCGAGAGCAAGGTCAGGACAGCGGTTGAGATGGAAGCTGACTTTGTAGAAGAGCATTGGTGACCTTCGAGATCAGGGTCAGGACAGCGGTTGAGATGGAAGCTGACTTTCTAGAAGAGCACCGGTGACCCTCGAGAGCGGGGTCAGGACAGTGGTTGAGATGGAAGCTGACTTTGTAGAAGAGCATTGGTGACCTTCGAGATCAGGGTCAGGACAGCGGTTGAGATAGAAGCTGACTTTCTAGAAGAGCATTGGTGACCTTCGAGAGCAGGGTCAGGACAGCGGTTGAGATGGAAGCTGACTTTCTAGAAGAGCACCGGTGACCCTCGAGAGCGGGGTCAGGACAGTGGTTGAGATGGAAGCTGACTTTGTAGAAGAGCATTGGTGACCTTCGAGATCAGGGTCAGGACAGCGGTTGAGATGGAAGCTGACTTTCTAGAAGAGCATTGGTGACCTTCGAGAGCAGGGTCAGGACAGCGGTTGAGATGGAAGCTGACTTTCTAGAAGAGCACCGGTGACCCTCAAGAGCGGGGTCAGGACAGTGGTTGAGATGGAAGCTGACTTTGTAGAAGAGCATTGGTGACCTTCAAGATCAGGGTCAGGACAGCGGTTGAGATGGAAGCTGACTTTCTAGAAGAGCACCGGTGACCCTCAAGAGCGGGGTCAGGACAGTGGTTGAGATGGAAGCTGACTTTGTAGAAGAGCATTGGTGACCTTCGAGATCAGGGTCAGGACAGCGGTTGAGATGGAAGCTGACTTTCTAGAAGAGCATTGGTGACCTTCGAGAGCAGGGTCAGGACAGCGGTTGAGATGGAAGCTGACTTTCTAGAAGAGCATTGGTGACCTTCGAGAGCAGGGTCAGGACGGTGGTTGAGATGGAAGCTGACTTTCTAGAAGAGCATTGGTGACCTTCGAGAGCAGGGTCAGGACAGCGGTTGAGATGGAAGCTGACTTTCTAGAAGAGCACCGGTGACCTTTGAGAGCGGGGTCAGGACAGTGGTTGAGATGGAAGCTGACTTTGTAGAAGAGCATTGGTGACCTTCGAGAGCAGGGTCAGGACAGTGGTTGAGATGGAAGCTGACTTTCTAGAAGAGCACCGGTGACCCTCAAGAGCGGGGTCAGGACAGTGGTTGAGATGGAAGCTGACTTTCTAGAAGAGCACCGGTGACCCTCAAGAGCGGGGTCAGGACAGTGGTTGAGATGGAAGCTGACTTTGTAGAAGAGCATTGGTGACCTTCAAGATCAGGGTCAGGACAGCGGTTGAGATGGAAGCTGACTTTCTAGAAGAGCACCGGTGACCCTCAAGAGCGGGGTCAGGACAGTGGTTGAGATGGAAGCTGACTTTGTAGAAGAGCATTGGTGACCTTCGAGATCAGGGTCAGGACAGCGGTTGAGATGGAAGCTGACTTTCTAGAAGAGCATTGGTGACCTTCGAGAGCAGGGTCAGGACAGCGGTTGAGATGGAAGCTGACTTTCTAGAAGAGCATTGGTGACCTTCGAGAGCAGGGTCAGGACGGTGGTTGAGATGGAAGCTGACTTTCTAGAAGAGCATTGGTGACCTTCGAAAGCAGGGTCAGGACAGCGGTTGAGATGGAAGCTGACTTTCTAGAAGAGCACCGGTGACCTTTGAGAGCGGGGTCAGGACAGTGGTTGAGATGGAAGCTGACTTTGTAGAAGAGCATTGGTGACCTTCGAGAGCAGGGTCAGGACAGTGGTTGAGATGGAAGCTGACTTTCTAGAAGAGCACCGGTGACCCTCAAGAGCGGGGTCAGGACAGTGGTTGAGATGGAAGCTGACTTTCTAGAAGAGCACCGGTGACCCTCAAGAGCGGGGTCAGGACAGTGCTTGAGATGGAAGCTGACTTGCTCGGCAGGAATGCATGTGGGGATGGGGGCAGTGGACTCCCTTGACGCACTAACAAAACCGACAGGCTGTGGGGGGGAGTGGCATCAGGAAAAGCAGGGGGACCCCTGTTCACTTCTGCAAGCAGAGGGTGAAAGGGGACAGTCTCTGAAGACCTGGGTGGGGCAAAGGACAGACCCCAGGACTGGACAGCTAGGGAAAGTGGTGTGGTGAGTTGAGAGCAGGATATTGAGAGTGGCATGTACACAAGTGGCTTAGCTTTTGCCGCTCCTCTTCTATGGCGGGGAGTAAGCCAGTGATTAAACCTCTTGAGATCTCAGCATCCCATCTACAAATGGAGGGACTTTGACAAAGTTCCCAACACGGAAACAAACACACCACCCAACCCCGATGCTCTAATTCCAACCTTCATGCCCCAATTCTGAGTTTCCCAACTGGAATGCTGGGGCCACCGCAAAGGTATCCAGCAAATGGCCAGATACTGATCCCTTTAGCCTTGGGGCTGTGGAGGGAGGGAGGTGTCCCCAGGCCCATCACTTCCGGCCCCAGCAGCCTCTTCTGTTGAGGGAAGAGGAGTTACTCATGTCGTCACTTCTGTTTCAAGTCCTGAAAAGGTCGGGAAGCATTGCCTACACAGTCATGCGAGGTCTCAAGCACAAGATTTGGGGCTTTTGGAAGGATTGGGTTCTTCTGATCGCCCACCTCCCTCTGACCAAGCCCCTTCTCCATCCCAGTGACACTGCTTTGTTCTTAGTACTGTCTCCCTTGCACCAGGGGTTACTCAGAGGGTTCTCAGATGTTCTTTCCAAAGGCCACAAGGCCTCGTCTCAGTTGTGCCCCACAGCCTTATGGGTCGAGCATCCGAAATACAAAATGCTCCAAAATCCAAAATATTTTGAGTGCTGACATGACACCCAAAGGAAGTGCTCACTGAAGCGATTTGGATTTGGGATTTTCCAATTAGGGATGCTGAAGTGGCATGTACATAATACACATATTCCAAAATCAAAAAAAAGCTGAACTCCAAAACACTCCTGGGCCCAAGCATCTCAGATTAGGGATGCTCAACCTGTATTTGCACAGAATTTGGGAGAGAGTTTAGGTGCTATTGTTGAATGGGTGGCTACCTCAAGTCAAACGGTGCCCTTTCCTGTACTAGGTGACAGTGCCAAGCCTGACCTCCCCTCTAAGGTCAGAAAAACAATGAGCAACGTGCGTCAATGAGGGCAGCAGCTTCCAAACAGACACCTGGGGAAACCTGGAAATCTTCAGTGATGTTTTGGTGGAGTGAGAACCTCTACAAAGGTTTGATTCTAACTTCACTTTTAAAATGCATTTAGTTTTAGTTCTAAAAACTAAACATTAAAAATGGTAATAACGCAACGCGCATCCTCAAATGTCTTCTGGGGGCAAATGTAAGATGTCGGAGGCCCTTGCTTCTGTTAACCTCTTTCTCCAAGGGCTGTTCACGGCCATGAAGACTTCAGGAGACAAGGAGCCTGTTACCATCTCTGTTTAATTGAAGAGCCTCTACCATTGCAAGAAGAGCTGTTTAAAACAAAACAAAATGGATACTATTTGAAAATTCTTAGCTGGATTAAATCAAGATTTCTCTATTCTGTGCAACCCAGAAGTAAACTGGGGTTGATACACACACATTTTCATCCATAACCTTGGTTTAAAGTGCTTCCTATTTGCTGGAATAGTTTTCAATGCTTTTACTGATTTCTTCTGAAAAATATTTGAACTCATAAAATGTATTCATAAAATACTTTTATCTATTTTGTATAGAGGGAATCCAATGTAAAATTTTGTCCCATAAATTTGAAAACTGCTGGTGAAGTACAAAAGGCATGGATGTTGGAATGAAGGCTGGAGCCAAATCCTGGCTCGCCCCCTTACTAGTCACATAGCAAATCCTGGCTCACCCCTCACTAGTCACATATCAAATCCTGTCTCACCCCTCACCAGTCACATATCAAATCCTGCCTCACCCCCTTACTAGTCACATATCAAATCCTGCCTCACCCCCTTACTAGTCACATATCAAATCCTGGCTCACTCGTCACTAGTCACATATCAAATCCTGGCTGGCTCACCCCTTACTAGCCACATATCAAATCCTGGCTGACCCCTCACTAGGTACATATCGAATCCTGGCTCACCCCTCACTAGTCACATATTGAATCCTGGCTCACCCCTCACTAGTCACATGTCAAATCCTGGCTCACCCCTCACTAGTCACATATCAAATCCTGGCTGACCCCTTACTAGTCACGTATCGAATCCTGGCTGACCCCCTGACTAGTCACGTATCAAATCCTGGCTGACCCCTTACTAGTCACATATCAAATCCTGGCTCGCCCCTCAGTAGCCACATATCAAATCCTGGCTCACTCCTCACTACTCACATATCGAATCCTGGCTCACCCCTCACTAGTCACGTATGGAATCCTGGCTCGCCCCTCACTGGTCACGTATCGCATCCTGGCTCGCCCCTCACTGGTCACGTATCGAATCCTGGCTCGCCCCTCACTGGTCACGTATTGAATCCTGGCTCACCCCTCACTTGTCACGTATTGAATCCTGGCTCACCCCCTTACTAGTCACATATCAAATCCTGGCTCGCCCCTCACTAGCCACATATCAAATCCTGACTGGCTAACCCCTCACTAACCACATATCAAATCCTGACTGGCTCCACCCCTCACCAGTCACATATCAAATCCTGGCTCGCCCCTCACCAGTCACATATCAAATCCTGGCTCGCCCCTCACCAGTCACATATCAAATCCTGGCTCGCCCCTCACCAGTCACATATCAAATCCTGGCTCGCCCCTCACCAGTCACATATCAAATCCTGGCTCGCCCCTCACCAGTCACATATCAAATCCTGGCTCGCCCCTCACCAGTCACATATCAAATCCTGGCTCGCCCCTCACCAGTCACATATCAAATCCTGGCTCGCCCCTCACCAGTCACATATCAAATCCTGGCTCGCCCCTCACCAGTCACATATCAAATCCTGGCTCGCCCCTCACCAGTCACATATCAAATCCTGGCTCGCCCCTCACCAGTCACATATCAAATCCTGGCTCGCCCCTCACTAGTCACATATCAAATCCTGTCTCGCCCCTCACTAGTCACATATCAAATCTTGGCTGACCCCTTACTAGTCACATATCGAATCCTGGCTCGCCCCTCACTAGTCACATATCAAATCCTGGCTTGTCCCCTTGCTAGTCACGTATCAAATCCTGGCCGACCCCTTACTAGTCCCATATGAAATCCTGGCTGACCCCTTACTAGTCACATATTGAATCCTGGCTGACCCCTTACTAGTCACACATCGAATCCTGGCTCACCCCTCACTAGGCACATATCCTTGGGCCTGTCACTTACCCTCTTTGAGCCTCCAAGTCCCGTCCACTAAACGGAGCTTAACTTAGCAGGAATTTCATCCGATGAGATAATGTATCCAGGACACAGTAAATACACAGTTACCTTTTCCTTCCCACCCCACCAACATGTACAGATAGCACTGAATTGCCCAGGCCCTCTCATGACCTAAGATACCACATGCAGGCCACACAGCAGCTGGACTGTGCAGCCAGGGCCCAGGGCTACCCCAACTGACCTCCACTCCCCTCAGCACCCTCCTCTGGCCTCCGAGCTAGCCAGCTGCTGATCCAAAGCTCTGGATCCTTTAGGGCTGTGCAAAGATGTGACAGGCATGGGTATGAGGCTGTGGGGGACTCTGTGTGTAAACTGATGTTTCTTTGTATAGCATTTGATATTCGGTGTGGGTATGAGGTTGTGGGGGGCTCTGTGTGTAAACTGATGTTTCTTTATACAGCATTTGATATTGGGTGTAGGTATGAGGCTGTGGGGGACTCTGTGTAAACAGATGTTTTCTTTATATAGCATTTGATATGTATTCCATTTGCCTTCTAAAGCCCTCCAGTGGCTGCTCCAGTTGGTCCACTGCAGTGCTTGATTTTGTGAAGAACCCTGTGGAATGTGGTCTCTGGCAGCTGAGAAGTGCCTTCCTTTTCCATCAGCGCAAGGCAAACACATGAAGGGAGCTGGGGTTTCTTGCCACCATTTCACCTGAGACCCCTGAAAGCTGCAGCCCACACTGCAAATACTTTTCTTGGCCCTGGAAGTAGAGGGAAGTTTGTTGAGAAGCTGTTCTTAATTTCTCACTTGTTGAAAAATTACCCAAAACAGGAGGCAAGACAATTGTGCAAATTCCATTTGATGACTGAGCAGAAGCTCCCAGAACCCTCGGATGAAGTGAGCAGCATTCCCAGGAGGCGGGACGTTGGACGCTATTTTTATTTTAACATCTCATATTGCCCCAGGTTCTCTGAGTCAACACCCTCAAAGGGGACAGACAGAAACAGAAAGGAACTTTTGGGCTGATTATAAGGATTCAGCTGGCCTTGGGAAAAGTCTAAACATCTTTGAAACACAATTGGAAAGTAATCCAAACAGCCTGTGAGCTCAGGCTTCCCAGTTAGAACTGCCTGTCCCAAGTTAATCTTGCTTAGTTTTTTGGGGGGCATCATACCTAAAGAAGAAGAAGAAGAAAAAAGGCAAGAATAAGTAAAAGGAAAAAAAAGAAAAAGAAAGGCAGGCAAGAATTTTTGTCCCTGTCGGGAGAAGAGTCTGGTCTGTGGACACCAGACACCTAAGCAAGTTTCTTGGAAGGGAGGCTTTGGCAACCCTCGCAATTCGCATTCACAGGAGACATGCCCTATTTTCCACAACAGGCAGCCTCGCCACCAGCCCCAGGAGGGAGGAAGCTCTCTTCTCAGTGTCTGCAGGTTTATCCCTAAATGCTACGGAAGCAGCAGCTGCCAGGGGAAGGGGATACTGCTCAGTCTTTTAAAACTCTCGTGTAAGCTTGATATTACAGTCATGACCTAAAAAGGCAAAGACCAGATATGCGGAGCTCGCTGCGGATGTAGCCTGCACACGGCCGCAGGATTTGTCACCACTCATCCATGTTTAAAAAAGCCAGTCCAGGCAAGACAGCCACAGGCTCCCGCCCACAAGTGATCACGAACACACTTCACACTGCCTTATGGCAGAGCAAGTGCATATAGCCCGGTCTTGTGTGACCTTCACAGCCAATATTCATTATAATCCCCTCTCACCAATATTGAAAATGGATGCTCAGGGGATCAGTGACTCGCCTGGTGTCAAAGTGCCAGGTCCAAATCAAGACCTGCAGATCAAGTCTTCTGTGGATGCTTCCAATCCCAGGCTGCTTTCATTTCTGATGGACACGTCCTTCATGTCCCACAGATCCATGGATCGCCGGCATCTTCCCTCCTGTTCACATAGGTGAGAAGGAAGGAGCTGGCAGGCAATGCCCTTCCAGGTGGGCTACAGGGAAGGTTCTTTTCTCATTAGGTTGATCCCTTGGCTTCCCTAGTAAAGTGGGGAGCTGTTGAAAAGAAAGAATGGAAACGAGGTAATGATCCTGGAGCCTAATGGAAGGGCCGCAGCCAGTTTTCCCCTGTTGAAAGGACACAGGACTTCCCGAAGAGTTTTCATGGCAAAAACGTCCAACCAGCTACTAAGGAAACAGGATGGACTCATGCGTGCAGGAGAGAAATCACTAAAGGACACAAGACTTCCCAAAGAGTTTTCATGGCAAAACGTCCATCCAGCTACTAAGGAAACAGGATGGACTCATGCGTGCAGGAGAGAAATCACTTGGCCGTCACTGGAAGAGCAGGCTGTGATGGGAACGGTAAGGACAGAGAAGGGAAGGTTCACAGGATAGAAATTCACAGGGCAAGTAGGGTTCCAAGTCAGAAGCAAAACACTTTACACAACATTACAGACAGGCTCCACTGCAACTGGGCAGGTCAGGACTGGGCTCAGTCGGCCACATTCTGCTCCCACGCGTTGCTTCCTTAGACTGTCAGGGAAGGGAGAAGGGCAGCCACCAGGAGCGGCCAGGGTCACGGACTTGCTACTTCTTTCCTAGAGTCTGTTCTGTTTTCTGTCAGCAGTAAGGAAATACATTCTAGCAAATGACATCCAGTAATGCTTTAATTAACTGCAGTATTTTGTGCTCCAACATGCAGGCAGAAATCACTTCCAGATGGAGAAAATGAAAGCTATTTACACAAAGAAGCAATCCCTTTATTTTAAGGAAATTTATATCTCCCAAAGGTGTAGAACTTCGAGGGTCCAAGAGGCTATTCTGATGAATACTAAAACAGGACTGGGAATTTTTATTTAATATATAAAATGTCATCGTACCCTTCATGTAGGCCAGCATTTCAGGTGTCCATGTTTCTAAGGCTTTTGCTTAAATTGCCCATTGGAGCTCTATTTTATTTTTAGGAATCTGACTTGGAGTAGACGAGAAGTGTGAGACACTTGCTGTCACCCTCAAGCAGGCAGGTTGTTCTGAGTGCTCTTCCTAGCGAAGGAATCCCATTTCCAGCAGGTTATTCCGAGTGCTCTTCCTAGCGAAGGAATCCCATTTCCAGCAGGTTATTCCGAGTGCTCTTCCTAGGGAAGGAATCTCATTTCCAGCAGGTTATTCCGAGTGCTCTTCCTAGGGAAGGAATCCCATTTCCAGCAGGTTATTCCGAGTGCTCTTCCTAGCGAAGGAATCCCATTTCCAGCAGGTTATTCCGAGTGCTCTTCCTAGCGAAGGAATCCCATTTCCAGCAGGTTATTCCGAGTGCTCTTCCTAGCGAAGGAATCTCATTTCCAGCAGGTTATTCCGAGTGCTCTTCCTAGCGAAGGAATCCCATTTCCAGCAGGTTATTCCGAGTGCTCTTCCTAGCGAAGGAATCTCATTTCCAGCAGGTTATTCCGAGTGCTCTTCCTAGCGAAGGAATCCCATTTCCAGCAGGTTATTCCGAGTGCTCTTCCTAGGGAAGGAATCTCATTTCCAGCAGGTTATTCCGAGTGCTCTTCCTAGCGAAGGAATCCCATTTCCAGCAGGTTATTCCGAGTGCTCTTCCTAGCGAAGGAATCCCATTTCCAGCAGGTTATTCCGAGTGCTCTTCCTAGCGAAGGAACCCCATTTCCAGCAGGTTATTCCGAGTGCTCTTCCTAGGGAAGGAACCCCATTTCCAGCAGGTTATTCCGAGTGCTCTTCCTAGGGAAGGAACCCCATTTCCAGCAGGTTATTCCGAGTGCTCTTCCTAGGTAAGGAATCCCATTTCCAGCAGGTTATTCCGAGTGCTCTTCCTAGGTAAGGAATCCCATTTCCAGCAGGTTATTCTGAGTGCTCTTCCTAGCCAAGGAATCCCATTTCCAGCAGGTTATTCTGAGTGCTCTTCCTAGCCAAGGAATCCCATTTCCAGCAGGTTATTCTGAGTGCTCTTCCTAGGGAAGGAACCCCATTTCCAGCAGGTTATTCCGAGTGCTCTTCCTAGAGAAGGAACCCCATTTCCAGCTGTGCACATGCAGCATTTCCCCTGGCATTCTTTCAACAGGGAACCAGGTCTCCTCATCCGATGGCAATTCAGGAAGGGTTGGTGTCATACCCTGCATCGAGCAGCAGCCTCGGACCTGCCCCCACGCTCTGCGTGCCCTGTACTGGTCATGCTGGTCTCAGCTTGTCTGCTCTCAGTCCTGTCTGATCTGCACAGAGGAGCCACCCTAGACATAAGAAATCAGGCACCCCTTCTCGGGGGTGGGCAGAGCCCTGGGTACTGGCTCTTTGTTCTTCGAGAGAGGAAGGAGTGGCGGTAGTTAGCTTCAATCCCTGAGCTGGGTTTGGAGATCAGAACACCTTGTCCATTGCGGCTCCTGTTTCATTGTTAAGAGTCCACACAGGATGTTCTCTGGCCTGGACACCGCTAAGCCAGCTTTCAGACAAGTCCCCTCAGTAAGAGCAGAGTGAACTCTTTATTGATTATACAAATTACCACTATTTATTTTAAACCCAAAGTGACTTCAAAGTTGTTTTTTGGTTTTTAAAGGGGCTACAGAAAATGGACTGAGGGGAAGGAATGGGCACAATATCTAGGTCTAGCTGAATCACAGAGCTGTTAGCTGCTGCTTTCATCCACAGGTACTCCTTTTACCTTATTATTTTTTAGAGAGTCTTGCTCCGTCACCCAGGCAGGAGTGCAATGGCATGATCTCGGCTCACTGCAGCCTCTGCCTCCTGGGTTCAAGCGATCCTCCTGCTTCAGCCTCCTGAGTAGCTGGGATTACAGGCGCCCACCACCACGCCTGGCTAATTTTGTATTTTTAGTAAAGACAGGGTTTCACCATGTCGGCCAGGCTGGTCTCGAACTCCTGACCTCACATGATCCACCTGCCTCGGCCTCCCAAAGTGCTGGGATTACCAGTGTGAGCCACCATGCCCGGCCTATTTTTTAATAGAGATGGGGTCTCACTCTGTTGCCCAGGCTTGTCTTGAAGTCCTGGGCTCAAGCAATCTTCCCACCTCAGCCTCTCAAAGCACTGGCATTACAGGTGTGATGCCACAGTACCCGGCCTAGGGTGCCCCTTTGATACGTTATTTTTGAAGTGATGTTAATAAATAAAGCTTCTGCTTGGGGGTTGGTCATCAAAACAAGAAGAATCCTCATCAGTATGGAGAGAGCCCAATCCTGGGCATGGTCCCCACCACCACCAAAAGTCTTTTTTTTTTAACTGAGTCTCACTCTGTCTCCCAGGCTGGAGTGCAGTGGCGGGACCTCGGCTCACTGCAACCTCCGCCTCCCGGATTCAACTGATTCCCCTGCCTCAGCCTCCCAAGTAGCTGGGATTACAGGCACCCGCCACCTGCCTGCTTTTTTTTTTTTTTTTTTTGTATTTTTAGTAGAGATGGGATTTTGCCATGTTGGCCAGGCTGGTCTCAAACTCGTGACCTCATGTGATCCGCCCACCTCGGCCTCCCAAAGTGCTGGGATTACAGGCGTGAGCCACCGCGCCTGACCCAACACAAGTTTAAAATGAAAGCTGTTATCAGTAGAGAATCTTCACCACGTTGGCACCAGCTCAAGTGTAGTGTCGGCGCACTTTTAGCTTAGAGTCAGAAAAATAGACATGTATGAAAATGCGTGGCAGGAGCCCTTCCATAAAGCAAATCTCTCTGTTGCAGTGGTTCTTAACAAGGTGTAAACGTTATAACTACCTATGGAACTTTTAAACCTGTATGCCAGGCCCCATCCAAACTTACTGACTCAAAATCTCCGGGCATCTGTTTTTTTGTTTGTTTTGAGATAGAGTCTCACTCTGTCGCCAGGCTGGAGTGCAGTGGCGTGATCTCGGCTCACTGCAATCTTTGCCTCCCGGGTTCAAGCGATTCTCCTGCCTCAGCCTCCCAAGTAGCTGGGAGGTGTGCACGCCACCACACCCCGGTAATTTTTGTATTTTTTGTAGAGATGGGGTTTCACCATATTGGCAAGGATGGTCTCAATTTCCTGCGCTTGTGATCCGCCCGCCTCAGCCTCCCCAAGTGCTGGGATTCCAGGCGTGAGCCACGGCGCCCGGCCGGCATCTGTAGATTTTAAAAGGCCCCAGTGGTTCTGATGCACACCCCCAGAAGAGAAACACAGCGTCTCTACACAGTACTGAGTCCCCATCAAGGAGACATTTAACAGAAACTCCTACTGACATCCATTGGTTCCTTGGGGATTACTGACAATGTAACAAATCAAGACAGCAACTTCCCTGGCTGTGACCACCAACTGTGGAAAACAGCAGCTTGATAGCTCAATGCTGTGATGGAGCCGTCCGGAAAACGACTCCTCAACAATGAACCAAAAAGAGAAGTGGTGATCTGTACACAAACGCCAGGAGTGACAAGAACCAGGTGCAGGAGTCCACTGGCTTTCCCAGCTCTCCTGGGTTGAGGACAGACGGCTGAACTGGCTGTGCTATTTGGAGATGGGCCCCACCGCCCCTTTTCAACTGTACGGCTCAGGCTGCTTAACCATAGCAACTCCATGGGCTGGGGTGGGGGCATCTACAGGGCTTCCTGGGGGCTCTCCCGACTGCCGCCCCCCGCCCTTGTCTTATTTGGAATCTTTTCCTAATAGACCTCAACTGAAGGCCGCATCTCCTTCTCGCAACACTTCTTTTCTCCTCCGCATTCTCAAATTTGAGACGCTTGATGCGTGAGAGTCAAACCAGCTAGCAAGGACAGCCTGGAAGCCGATGAAGAAATGACACTCAGGATCAGAGCTGGACGGCATCGGGGAGAAAGCCTGGCAGAGAGGGCAGGGGCACAGAGCAGTGGTTATGTTGGGAAACAAGGTGGGGATGAGGAAATCAGGTTTCCAGGCAGATTTCCAAACCTTATTCCTACTGTACGGCTGTTACAAGTTTTATGGATTTTAAGGAAATTTCCTCTATCCTGAAAACTTTTTGAGAAGGGGTCTTGCTCTGTCACCCAGGCTGGAGTGCAGTGGTGAAATCTTGGCTCACTGCAGCCTCCACCTCCCGGGTTTAAGTGATTCTCCTGCCTCAGCCTCCCCAGTAGCTGGGATTACAGGCACTCGCCATGACACCCGGCTAATTTTTTTTATTTTTAGTTGAGACAGGGTTTCGCCATGTTGGGCAGGCTGGTCTCGAATTCCTGACCTCAGGTGATCCACCTGCCTCAGCCTCCCAAAGTGCTGTGATTACAGGCATGAGCCACCACACCCAGCCAATTTTTTGTATTTTTGGTTTTGCCAGGTTGCCCAGACTGGTCTCAAACTCCTGAGCTCAAGCAATCTGCCCACCTCAGCCTCCCTAGCAGTTGGGACTACAGGTGCATGCCACCACACCTTGCAAATTTTTATTTTTGTAGACATCTGTATGTTGCCCAGGCTGGTCTCAAACTCCTGGACTCAAGTGATCCTCCTGCCTTGGTCTCCCAAAGTGTTGCGACTACAGGCATGAGCCGCCGTGCCTGGCAAGATATCATTCTTCAGCAAAAGCAGGCAGCAACAGCAGCGGTTTGCCTGTAGCTGTGGTCATGGTTAACTGAGGCCTGGTTTCAAGGGAACCGAGTGAATCAGGGTTAACGGCTTGATATGCTGCCATTCTCTGGATGCAGGATGACATGAGAGGTCGGGAGCAGTCTCTTCGGCAAGCCCTGCTGCAGAGAGCCCGCGGTGGACAGGAAGGGCGGGGGGGGCGGGCAGGCTGCGTGCCAGGCCAGGCTCTCAGCCTGGTCTTTAAGGTCCATATTCTGTTCCTGAGGCATCCAGAACCCCAGACTCCTTCTCATAACACAGGAACACATCACTGGGATGCTGCACATCACCTTTGCTATTTCAGATGACGCTGGAAAGTGCTGTGGACCTGAAGGTGAGTGGGCAGAAAGGGGTTTGAGAGTATGGACTTCCTGGGCGTTCCCATGGCTTCATCTGATGAGAAAACCTAGGAAACGTCTTCCAAGTGAACTTCCTGGTTTCCCTTCCCTAGAAACCAGGAGCAGGGTGGGAGTAAAGAAATGGAGGAAGGGGCTGGGCTCGGTGGCTCACGCCTGTAATCCGATACTCAGGAGGCTGAGGCAGGAGAATTGCTTGAACCTGGGAGGCGGAGGTTGCAGTGAGCCGAGATCACGCCACTGCACTCCAGCCTGGGTGACAGAGCGAGACTCTGTCTCAAAAAAAAAAAAAAAAAAAAAAAAAAAGGACGGGTGGGGCCCACGTGTCAAGAGGGTGTGACTGCCATGGGGAGGCTACATGAGTCAAGGGCAGCTCAGGGACCTATCCTCCACTGCTGCCTCTGCTTCACGAACCAGAGATCACCTAAATCGCCCTCTTAGAGCCCAGCCCTTACTCAGCGTCTCCGATTAGGGCAGGAAGTAAGACAGGGCATGGGAGAGACTCAGTAACAACCCACATGTCCCAGGAAGTTTGAAGACCGACGATGTGAGAGTGCCGGGGAGCACAGGAGAGGTTGGGGGCTTCTGGGGAACGGGCGCTGAGGGTCTCCAGCCAGGAGCAAAGGGCCCCTTGCTGCTGCTACAGTCTCTTTTTAATGAGTTTCTCGAGCTTGCGGATGCGTGACGACTCTTGCTCTGGTGTTGGCGCCGTCAGGGACAGTGAGCCGGAGCTTTCTGCCCCCGAGGGCGGTGCGGGGAGCCGCTGGCGCAGGAGTTCCAGCATGCTGCTCTGCTCACTCCTCTTCAGCCCCTGAGGTTGAGAGAGAAACAGAACCGTCACGAAGTCTGGGCCAGAATGGCCCACGGGGGACAGCGCAGTATCTGGATATGGGGTCAGCAGAGGCTCTGGAGACAGCATAGTTACTCCAGGCTGAGGATGAACCGTTTCCTCAAGGGACTCACCATCCCCTGGGTAGTAGCGTGGGAGGAAAAGAGAGGGGAAGAAAAGGTAAAGGAAGGGAAAGAAGCGGCTGACAGAGGAGAAAGGACAGGTCAAGAAGGTGGGAAGGACAACATGCCTGTCCTCATCCCCCTGCCCCTGCCCCATCCTCCCTGTGCAGGTGGTCTCAGCGGGGCATGCAGGGCCTGTCAGAATCCTGAAGTGCACGTGCCCGGGGCCATCCTCCTCCAGAGGCTTCTCTGAATCCGGTTTGCTCTGTGGAGCCAGGCACATGCATTTTGAGAAAGCCCCCCCGGAACTTATATCCCAATTCCCGGTTAAGAACCGCTGAGTGTGAGGGGGATGAGCAGGTGTGGACCAAATGTCCCGGCACAAACCTTCATGTCCAGTATCTTCTGAAAGGTTTCTGTGTTGCAGTCTGTGAGAAGTTTGATGTAGTTGTCAACAAACACCACCAACGGTTCATGAGGGGCCATCACTACCTACAGCGGGAGGAGACAGGAGCAAGCCCCTCAGGAAAACTACCACCACGGGAGGAGACAGGAGCGGGCCCTCAAGAAAACTCACTACCCACCGCAGGAGGAGACGGGAGCGGGCCCTTCAGGAAAACTCACTCCTCACTTGCCCGCCGAGCGCTAAATGGATTCTGAGAGGTTTCCTTAAGCAGCAGCAACCCAGACTAGAAACGCCCCAGTGGCCCATCTCATCTTCACATGCCACTACAGCAATGTCCTAAATTTGCTGAATCCTAAATACACCTGCGCTGCTGTTTGAAGTATGGGTTTCCGGGGCCCTCCTCTAAAGACTCTAATTCAGTAGGCCTGGCTGGAGTCCCAGGTGACTTTTAAACTATCAGGACCATCCGGGAAACCCTGCGTGAGAGGGTCTCCTGTTCCAGGCATTTCACCAGTACACGGTACTTGCTCCTTCTGCCTTGACGTACTATGATTCCTGAGAAATGGGTGGCAAAAGGAGCTGGTATAAGTAAGTGGATTTCTGCAAAAACAAAAATGCCAAAGCTGCCTCACCTTTTGGAGACTTAAAATCTGTAACTTCATGTAACGACTAACTTAAACTATCAATTAACATACAAACAAAGGAAAGGAACGGCACTGCAACCCTTATTCATTTCCGTTTTGTTCTGGAATGCAGTATCTGATTTTCTTTCCCCAGCCGACTGATTTGTTTTGAATTCCTGAGACTGAAGGGAAGAGTGGCGAGGAGGAGTTCACTCAGGCATCCTCTGCCGATAATTCCCAGACCACAGGCTCTCCTCCCCAGCAGTAAGCAGCAGGGAAAGAACATGATGAGGCAGCTTCACCCTCACCTACATGAGCTCTTCACCCTCACCTACATGAGCTGCTTCACCCTCACCTACATGAGCTGCTTCACCCTCACCTACATGAGCTCTTCACCCTCACCTACATGAGCTCTTCACCCTTACCTACATGAGCTGCTTCATCCTCACCCACATCCCACCGGTGTCTGAGGCCCTGCTGCCACTTCCTACTCCTGCCGTCCCTGAGTCATCTGGTTTAGGAAGTGGCCTGAAGAGCCTACAGGTCCTGGGCTTTTAAGACCACATCACCACAGGACCATCTGTTCTCCAGCCCTCATCCCTACTCTTCAAAATAGCTGGAAACCAGAGGCAGATGCGCAGGGCTTCAGACGTTCCTCACTCGAAGTACAGTCTTGTTAAATGGGGCTTTAAAATATCCATTTGCTGATTAGATTCAGTTACTACAACATCTGTTCAGAGTTCATTTAAAGTGGCAGAGTACAGAAAGCCAAAAAGGCTGATGTGGAAGGGAGTAACTGAGAGCTGTGCCTGAAATTCCTGCTGAGAAGCGGAGATCCCTGACATACACTGATTCACAGTGGCAACCACCTAACCTCCAAGCTTGACCACATTTGATCACAAGAGAATCCCACGCCAACAAGAAATTCATTTGTCAGAAGGAATTACTGAGCCCTAATAACTATCCACAGACTTTCAACAATATCTGATGAGGCCAAAATCCAGTCCAGCCCAAGAATGTGGACCATGCTTTGAGGCCGGTGAGGATAGGACCTACCCTGTGCTTTCAAAACCAAGGCTTCTCAGAAAAAGAGATTAAATAAATAACTGGCCCCTTTTAACACAAGCCATCACCTTGAGGATCATCTCAGCCCGGGTCATGCCTTTGACAACGATCTTGGTGTAGCTGGCGGGTGCCTTCCTCACCACCTGCGAGCTGATGGAGGGGAGATCGAGCAGGACCATCTTCAGCGAGTGGGTGTCCAGCAGCAGCTGTGGAGCAAAGCAGAGAGCATTACCGGCCCCTTCCAGCGACCCAGTGCCGAGTGGACTCATGCCGATGAGTCATGTTTTTCTCGTTATACACGTAACACATTCTTGTTGCAAAAAATTGGGGAAATAAACAGAAATATAAAAGAAAAAAATTATGTATAATTCCCATCACCTAGGAGAAACAACATCAAGGAGCCAGCCTATGTGTACGTATATAAAAAACTAAATCAGGGGGCCAGGAGCCGTGGCTCACACCTGTAATCCCAGCACTTCAGGAGGGCCAGGCAGCAGGATCGCTTGAGCTCAGGAATTTGAGACCAGCCTGGGCAACATGGCAAAACCCCGCCTCTACAAAAAATGCAAAAATTAGCCAGGCGTGGGGGTGCGCATCTGTGGTCCCAGCTACTGAGGAAGACTGAGGTGGGTGGATCGCTTAAGCCTGGGAGGTTGAGGCTGCAGTGACTCAAGATTGTGCCACTGTAACTCTCCAGCCTGGGTGACAGAGGGAGACCCTGCCTCAGTAACAAACCACAACTCCTCCATAAAACTAAATCAGAATCATACTGTATGTATATTCAATTTTATAACCTGGTTTTCTCACTTAATATACACAATTTTTATATTCTATTTTCCCATCTTTGCAGTCTTTAAAAAACAAATCAAGGTTTTTAAGTGCACTCTAGCCTGGGCCTCATGGCGAGACCCCATCTCTAAAGAAGAATCGTGATTTAATGGCTGTGCAGTACTCTGTGATGTGTGTGGTTGTGTAAACTTTAAGATCTTTCCAATGGAATGGACCCATTTACACCTCTGCCAGCCATGCAGACTGCACCCTTATCAGCACTGAAAACTCATCAAATCCTGATTATTCATTAGGCAAAAAATAGTAACTCATTATTGTTTTACTTTGAATTTCTCTGGATGTTACTGAGGATGTAGGAGATTTACCCAAATGTAAACATTGTATCCTGGCAACAATCTACCTTTTCCTCTTTGTTTGTTCTGGTTCTCTGGGATGCCAATTATCTAGAAGGACACCCATAGTCCTAAAGGCTCACTGACTGCCGGGAATGACATGAGGAACGTTTTGTCACATTTAATCTGAGTAAAGCCTTACCTACCCTGGATGTTATTTATTGTTCCCATTTTACAGATGAGAAAAAGTTCCAGAGGATTAACAGCTCACCAAACTCATCTCATGCAACGGACGGGGTTAGACAAAAGTTGGACGGGAAGCTGGAATTCATTTCCGGTTGCCAGGTAACGGGGTTAGAGAAAAGGTGGACTGGAAGCTGGAATTCCATTTCCGGTTGCCCAGGTAACGGGGTTAGACAAAAGGTGGAAGGGAAGCTGGAATTCCATTTCCGGTTGCCCAGGTAAATGTCCCTGGGTGGTTTTGGTGACGAGCTCACACTGACTCCTGCTGACTGCCCTGCTCTGCTGCCGCCGCTGCTCTTGGCAACCAGGGAGCAGAGAAATGGCTGAAGACAGAAGGGTGTACTCTGGCCTGTTGAGATGGCTTAGGAGAATGGAACCACATGGTCACCAAGCAGACAACGGCAGCAGTGGGGTGACAGCTCCCAATGCCACCACTCAACTCCGGTGATAACGGCCAAACTTATATTCAGGGCAAGGCCTGTACTCTCTGCCACTGCCTGCTTCTTTGGGAAAGCCTTCTGTAATCCTATCAGGTAGGTGAGAAATGGGACCCTTCAGGCCCTGCGACACTTTGCATCCTCCAATTTCCTATTTACTTTGCTTTGGACAGAAGAATTAATGATTAAAGAGAAACTAAGTAACGACAGATACTATGAACTTAAGGGTTATGGCAATTGTAATTTTAACAATGGTAGAAACATGGGGAAGACGTCAGTGTTTTATGTGGAATAATTTAGGTGTGGTAAGGAATTACACTAAGGTCAGAGCAATTTCATGCAGCTAGTCAAAGGCCTGCACCACGCAGGTCATTCAACTGTAGCCAGCAAAGTGCAGGGCATTTTGGACCTTTCTGGATTTCTAGAGATAGAAATTCTTACTATCCTAGTGTCTGCTTTGTTGAAAAGGCCAAGGGCTCAGAGAAAAGGGTATGCAAACCTCCAGGAGGGGGAATGGCACTGATTGCTCAAGGCCCACGTGAAGAGCCTGGCGTTAGCGCACTTTCCAGAATTCCAGTGGAAATGACTGCTGCTTTTCCTCGGAGGAACCCAGAACAAGCCTCTAAAGCATTCTAG
This sequence comes from Homo sapiens, assembly GCF_000001405.40. Lineage (NCBI taxonomy): Eukaryota > Metazoa > Chordata > Mammalia > Primates > Hominidae > Homo > Homo sapiens. The sequence continues at coordinate 83,447 of NW_017363817.1, forward strand.
GTGGATTAAATTCTTAGATATAAAAAAGAAAAACTTTAAGAAGAAAATACAGGGCGCAGTGGCTCATGCCTGTAATCCCAGCATTTTGGGAGGCCGAGGCGGGTGGATCATCTGAGGTCAGGAGTTCGAGACCAGCCTGGCCAACATGGAGAAACCCCATCTCTACTAAAAATACAAAAATTAGCCGGGTGTGGTGGCGCATGCCTGTAATCCCAGCTACTCGGGAGGCTGAGGCAGGAGAATTGCTTGAACCTGGGAGGTTTGCGCTACAGCCTGGGTGACAGAACAAGACACTGTCTCAAAAAAATAAATACATAAAAAATAAAAAATAAAAAAGAAGAAGAAGAAGAAAATACAGAGATTATTTTCATTGCTTATGGGTGGAGAAGAATGTCAAACATCAGAAAGAATGAACCACCTACCCTAAAATGAAAGGCATCTATATCAGAAGAAACAAACAAAGTAAAAGACAAGACATAAATCAGGAGAAGATACGTGCAACGTTGACAAGGGAACGGGGTTCCGAACATGAAGATTCCTACACATCAACAGGAAAAGCACAAACTATCCCAACAGCGACACAACAACAGGCAAACAATACTAACACCGGATTCACAAAAGAGGAAACTCAAATGCCCGAAAGGCATATGAAATGACACGCAACCTGGTTAGTAACTGGGAAATGCAAATTAAAACCACAGATGTACACCATAATACATCCATCAGAGTCAGAAGTAAACAGATTATTTGATAATCAAGTGTGGGCACGGCCATGGCACTGAAATTCACAAATGTACACCGTAATACACCCATCAGAGTCAGAAGTAAACAGGTTGATAATCTAGTGTGGGCACGGCCACACTGAAATTCAGACTAGTGGTGACAGTAGAAGTTAGTTCAAGCACGTTGGGGGAAATTTAGCAACATTTCCTTAGCTGGAGATGTGTATCACCCATAACACAGCATTAATACTTATATCCATTAGAGGAATTCTTGCCCATGTAAAAACGTTCCCTGCATCCGCTATTTATAAAAGCAAAAGTTTGGAAACAACCTACACGTCCATTGACAGTGGAATGAATAAACAAATGACAGCACATTCGTGCAATGGAATATGCTGCTGAGGTGAAAATGAATGGGTGCACACAGCATGCATTAACATGCATAAATCTCAGAAAATAGTAAGTTGGGCAAAAAAAAGCAAGTGGGGAAATGATATGTCTAATGCCATTTATATAGTTTTAAAATATGCAAAACAAAATCATATATCATTTGTGAATATATACACATATATCAAAACACATATGAGAATAAAATCAAAATCAGGACAGTGTTTACTTTGGGGCATGGAGGAAGAGATGGGCAGGGTGGGGTTCATGGGGGCGGTCTTCAGCAATAACTGTAATGATTTACTTTACATAAAAATGATCTAAAGCAGGCAGGGTGTGGCAGCTCATGCCTGTAATCCCAGCATTTTGGGAGGCTGAGGCAGAAGGATCACTTGAGGCTACGAATTCAAGATTACCCTGGGCAACACAGTGAGACCTTGTCTCTACAAAAACAAAAATAATAAGATTAGACAGGCACAGTGGCACACACTTGTAGTCTCAGCTACTTAGGAGGCTGAGGTGGGAAGATGGCTTAAGCCCAGGAATTCCAGGTTGCAGTGAGCTATGATGGCACCATTGCACCCCAGCCTGGGAGACAGAGTGGGACCCTGTCTCTTAAGAAAAGAAAAAAAAAATGGGCCAGGCGCGGTGTCTCATGCCTGCAATCCCAGAACTTTGGGAGGCTGAGGTGGGAGGATCACTTAAGGTCAGGAATTTGAGACCAGCCTGGCCAACATGGTGAGACCCCATCTCTACTAAAATACAAAAATTAGCCAGATATGGTGGTGCACACCTGTAATCCCAGCTACTCGGGAGGCTGAGGCAGGAGAATTGCTTGAACTCGGGAGGTGAAGGTTGCAGTGAGCCGAGATCGCGCCATTGTACTCCAGACTGGGCAACACGGTGAGACATTTTCTCAAAAAAAAAAAAAAAAAAAAAAAAGATGTAAAGTAAATGTGGAAACATGTTACATATTTTGCTGAGCTGAGTAGTTAGTTACTGTTTTTTACATTATTTTCTGTACATTAATTAACTGGAATTTTTGTTTAAAGACTACCATTCAGGACTCAACTCTGTCTTCCATGTAGCAAATTTTGAGAGCCTTGTCAAAATCAAAGCCATGTCTTAGCATTCATTTGTTGGTAGGAAAAAAAAAATCAGTCATTATATTTTAAAGCATATGGAGATATTTCCTACTTTTCTACTTCCCAGAGATACATTATATGCATAAATAATTGTACAGTCTTAAATGACAGGAAGGGTTTGAATGCACCAGGCATAATTCTCTAGTGTCCCTCATATACAGGGAGATATGACACTTTCATTCCCTGGCCAGTCACCATAAAATTCTGTCTTTACCAGACACTGAGAGGTGAAAACCCTGGTCTCAGGTTTTATACATAAAGCAAGGCAGTCAGAAAAGGCGGGAATGAGCCTGACAGATTTGGCGGCTGTCTGTGCAAAGACAAGACAGAAAGGTCCCATTTATCATGAAAATCTGCTAGTTTTCAACTTTGAAATAGTTGATAATTCATCTTCTTAGGCATGAGACATTGGGCAAGGGGTGGCTATTGCCACATTCATTTCTGCCTCAGCGATAATTTCTGGGGCAGTGTGGGCTGGCTAATGTTGTTGATGGGATGTGGGGGTGCAAGGGTGGCCAGTATGCCATGCCTGTGAAGGCTGATCACCCAGCAATGGAAATCTTTGAGAGGGGCCCTTTACTTCCCGAGGAGCCTCCTACAATTCTTGGGGACATGATGACTATCAACAGTGATGAAAATTTTGCGTAAATAAGATACAGGCCCACACTCCTAGAAGACAAAGAACCATGTGAACAAAACCACATAGGTGAACCATATTGGTCCCACCATAGAAAATTCTTCAATGAGGTGGCACAGGGGAGACAGCTCAGGCTATCAGGAGGGATGGAACAAGGTGGACACATGTTCTATTTCTTTTTCTTTTTAAAAAAATTAGGTATAACTTTCACAGAGTACACAAACACCACGTATGCCATTTGATCAACATCCAGACATGTGCACATCCTGCTGCCTAACGGAAGACAGAGCACACTTCTGGCATCCCTGAAGCCTTCCTCATGCTCTCGTCCAGTCAATGCTCTCCTTTCCCTCTCAACAAACTCTCCTGCTGTCTCTCACTGTAGCTAGTTGCCTGCTCATAAACCTGCTCTGAACATTCGTCTCTCCTACTCTCTCTCACTGTAGCTAGTTGCCTGCTTCATAAACTTGCTGTGAACATTCGTCTCTCCTGCTCTCTCTCACTGTAGCTTGTTTCCTGCTCATAAACCTGCTGTGAACATTCGTGCGCATGCCTTTGGTGGTCATAAAGTCCTCATTTCTCTAGGGTGGAAGCTACTCAAGAGTAGAACTGCTGGATCATGGGGTAGGCATATGTTTGGCTAACTGCCTAGGAGTTTTCCAATGTGGCTGGGCTAACTTCCATTTCTACCAGCACATATGAAAGTTCCAGATGCTCCACATCCTTACCAACACTTGGTATCATCACTCTTTTAAATTATTATTATGATTAGAGACAGGGTCTTACTCTGTCACCTGGGCTGGAATGCAGTGGTGCAATCATAGCTCACTGCAACCTTGAACTCCTTGGCTCAACTGATCCTCCTGTCTCAGCTTCCCGAGTGGCTAGGACTACAGGCACGTGCCACACTTGGCTAATTTTTAAATTGTTTTGTAGAGATGGGGTCTCGCTGTGTTGCCCAGGCTGATCTCAAACTGCTGAGCTCAAGCAGTCTTCCTGCCACAGCCTCCCAGAGTGCTAGGATTACAGGCACAAGCCATCGCACTTGGCCAAAGTCTTTTAAGTACTCAAAATAACCAATCTTTTCTTTTATGGTTAGTGCTTTTAATGTTTTGTTTAAGGGATCTTTGCCTAACCCAAGGTCATAAACATATTGTCTTATATTAAATCTTCCAGAAGCTTTATTGCCTTATTTTTTAGAGCCATAATCCATCTGGGATTAATTTTCTAAAAATGGAGATATAATTCAAAAACCATAAAATTTACCTTTTGGAAGTGTACAATTCAGTGGTTTTTAAGGTCTATTCACAAGGTTGTACAGCTGTCAGCATTATCTGGTTTCAGAACACATTATCACCCCAGAAAGAAACCCTTACCCATTAGCAGCCATTCCCATCTCCCCCTCCCTCAGCCTTTGCCAACCATTAATCCACTTTCTGTTTTACGGATTTGCCTGTTCTGGACATTTCACAGAAGCAGAGTCACACAATAGGTGGCTTTTTGTGTCTGGCTTCTTTCACTTAACATGGTTTCAAGGCTCTTCCATGTTGTAGCATGAATGGGTACTTTATTCCTTTTAATGGCTGAGTAATATTCCCTTGTATGGATAGACCACATTTTGTTTATCATCAGCTGATGGACATTTGAGTTGTTTCTACTTTCTGGCTATTATAAATGGTGCTGCTATGAATATTTGTGTACAAGCTTTTGTGTGAACACATTTTTTTTTCAATTCTTTTTTTTTTTTTTTTTTTTGAGACAGAGTCTCACCCTGTCACCCAGCCTGAAGGTACAGTGGCGCAATCTTGGCTCACTGCAATCTCTGCCTCCCAGGTTCAAGTGATTCTCCTGCCTCAGCTTCCCGAGTAGCTGGAGTTACAGGTGCACACCACCATGTACAGCTAATTTTTGTATTTTTAGTAGAAGTGGGTTTTCACCATGTTGGCCAGGCTGGTCTCGAACTCCTGACCTCAGGTGATCTGCCTGCCTCAGCCTCCCAAAGTGCTGGGATTACAGGTGTGAACCATGCACCCTGCCTTTTTCAATTCATTTGGGTATATATCTAGGAGTATAATTGCTGGGCCCTGTGGTAACTCTATGTAAATGCCAAACTGTTTTCCAAAATGGCTGTACCGTTTTGCATTACCACCAGCAATGTATGAGTGTTCTAATTTCACCAAATCCTCTTTGGAATTGATTTTTATATATGGTGTGTGGCAAAGGTCAAGATTTTTTTCCGATATGGATATCCAATTACCCAGCACTATTTACTGAAAAGACTCTCTTTGAATGATGCCACTTTGGTCATAAATCAAGTATCTACACATGTGTGGGTCTATCCCTCAGCTCAGATCTGTTCTGTTGGCCTCTTTGTCCCTGGGGCCAGTGCCACACTGCTCTAATTACAATACTGCTGCAATAAGTCTTGATATCCTGAGCTTTAACTCCTCCAATTCTGTTCTAAGATTATTTTGGCTGTTGTCTTCTGTATTTTCATCTAACTTTTAAAATCAGCATATCAATTCACACACACACACTCACACACACACACACACACACACACCCCTGCTGGGATTCTACTGTATCTATAGATAAATTGATACAGTAATTAGGATTGAATTCTATCTATAGATTAATTTTGGAATAATTTGCCGCTTTTTAAATTGTTATTTATTTTTTATTGGGCAGCCTCCTCAGCCAGAGCAGGCTCAGAAAGACTCCATATGTATTTCTTTTTGAGTCTTTCTTATCAATGAACATGAGCTATCCTGTCATTTTAAAGGTCTTTATGGATTCTGTGTCTTAATATTGTACAGTTTTCTGTGTAGAAGACTTGTACATTTTTAATTTACTCCTAGGTATTTAATGTTTCCTGATGTTATTGTAAATGATTTCATTTAGGCCTGGGAGCCATGGCTCACGCCTGTAATCGCACCACTTTGGGAGGCTGAGGAGGGTGGAGTTTGAGACCAGCCTGGGAGACACAGGGAGGCAGACCCTATATCTACCAAAAAAAAAAAAAAAGAGCCAGCCAGGCATGGTAGTACATTCCTGTAGTCCCAGATACTTGAGAAGTTGAGGCAGGAGGATGGCTTGAGCCCACGAATTGAGACTGCAGTGAGCTATGATTGTGCCACTGTACTCACTCCAGCCTGGGCAATACAGCAAAAAAAAAAAGTATTTCACTCAAAAATGTTCATTTTTAAATTGTTTGCTGCTGGTATATAGAAATATATTTTAAAACACTTTCCTTATAGCCAGCAACCTTGCTAAATTTATATTCTTTTTTTTTTTTTTTTTTTGAGACGGAGTCTCTATCACTCAGGCTGGAGTGCAGTGGCGCAATCTCAGCTCACTGCAACCTCCCAGGTTCAAGCAGTTCTCCCAGGTTCAAGCAATTCTCCTGCCTCAGCCTCTCGAGCAGCTGGGATTACAGGCGCACCACACCTTGCCCAGCTAATTTTTGTATTTTTAGTAGAGACGGGGGTTTCACTGTGTTGGTCAGGCTGGTCTTTAACTCTTGACCTTGTGATCCGCCCGCCTCGGCCTCCCAAAGTGTTGGGATTAAGGGTGTAAGCCACTGCACCCGGCCTGCTAAATTTATATTCTAACAGTTTATCTGTAGATCCTTTTAGATTTATTACTCATAATCATATTTTCCATGAAAAATGACAGCTTAGTTTCCTCCTTTCTAATCTGTATATATTTTGTTTCTTTTAAAAATATTGTATTTTTTGCCTTGTTGTCCTAGCCAGGACTTCAACAACAACGTGGGATAGAAATGGTGACAGCGGACATTCTCCTCTTATCCTTAATCTCAAGGGAAAGAAAAGCTTTCATAGGTGAACGCAGTCATAAGAATAATTAGTGACCCTGCAAAACAGGATGATCTGAAGATCATAAACTAGCAAGAAGCATGATCAATATTGGTGTGGGTCAGTTCCACGTGCCCTTGCAATTGCTCGAGGACTCTGGGGCCCAAAGATAAAGAACTCACTTTATATAGTACTCAGAGAACAAAGAGCAGAAAAATGTCTCCCATCCCATTTTCAGCATAAGTATTAAAGCAAAACCTAATTTAGGATCTGGCACCCTTGTGGCAAGGCAGACACAGCTGAGGTTGGGCTAAATCTTAGCTTCCAATGCCATAGCTTTTGTTCAAGTTTGGATGGCAGCTGCTCCACTACTGGAGGCAGCGTCTGTTTCAGTCTATGAACACTGCTGAGTTAACTTGATTCTGATGGTTCTGCTGCCTGAGTGAACACGCCTGCAGCTACATGGCTGCTTGAGTTTCAAGGCCCAGACATCAGGGCAAGTACAGGCCCAGCCAAACCTCAACTCATGTGAGAATCGTTCAGGGGCCACGTTGCCCTGTAGTTCCCACCCACACCCTCCCCATTCTGGGCCTGTCAAGATCCACACTCCCCTACTGCCCACCTGAACTGGCCTGGGGTCTGATTAAGTAAAACTCCAGTTCCAGCAGATGGTTTTCTCATCCACACCTCAAAACGGAAGTAAACATAGGATGTTGGCTGTGGGTTTGTTAAAAAATAATAACAATAATGGATGTAAGCACTGGATGAACTGATATTTTTCTGAAGATATTGGCTTTGGGTCTGAGCTTACTATAATCATTAAAAGACTCTTTTTTTTTTTGTGGGGCAGATGGTGTCTTACTCTGTTGCCCAGGCTTCAGTGCAGCGGCACGATCATAGCTCACTTCAGCCTGGATTCAAAGAATCCTCCGACTTCAGCCTCCTCCTGAGCAGCTGGGACTACAGGTGTGGACCGTTTTTTAGCTAATGTTTTATTTTTTTTGAGAGATAGGGTTGCACTATGTTGCCCAGGCTGGTCTTGAACTCCTGGCCTCTAGTGATCCTCCCATCTCAGCCTCCCATCACTGGGATTTATTCTTTTTTTTTTTTTTTTTTTTTGAGATGGAGTCTCACTCTGTTGCCCAGGCTGGAGAGCAGTGGCGTGATCTGAGCTCACTGCAACCTCCACCTCCACCTGCAAGTGATTCTCCTGTCTCAGCCTCCCAAGTAGCTGGGATTACAGGCATGCACCACCACGCCTGGCTAATTGTTTTTTTTTTTTTTTTTTTTTTGAGATGGAGTTTCGCTCTTGTTGCCCAGGCTGGAGTACAGTGGTGTGATCTCAGCTCACTGCAACCTCCACCTCCTGGGTTGAAGCAATTCTGCCTCAGCCTCCCGAGTAGCTGGGATTACAGGCGCCCACCATCACGCCCGGCTAATTTTTTGTATTATTAGTAGAGACAGGGTTCACCATGTTAGCCAGGCTGGTCTCGAACTCCTGACCTCAGATGATCCGCCTGCCTGGGCCTCCCAAAGTGCTAGGATTACAGACGTGAGCCACCATGCCCGGCCAATATTCCAAGTTTTTTGCTAGTTTTTTTGTTTGTTTGTTTTTTTGAGATGGAGTCTCACTTTGTCACCCAGGCTGGAGTGCAGTGGTGTGATATCGGCTCACTGCAACCTCCACCTCCCGGGTTCAAGTGATTCTCCTGCCTCAGCCTCCCCAGTAGCCTGCCCCCATGCCCAGCTAATTTTTGTATTTTTAGTAGAGATGGGATTTCACCATGTTGGCCAGGCTGCTCTCAAATTCCTTACCCCAGGTGATCTGCCTGCCCAGGCCTCCCGAAATGCTGGGGTTACAGCGTGAGCCGCTGTGCCCGGCCCAGCCACTTCTTCTTATTGGAGTGTGAGCACTAGGAGCAGGGACCTTTCCATGGTGCTTGCTGTGTTATACCCTGCACCCAGAACTTAGTAGGCGTTCAAACAAAATTTTTAAAAATAAATGGAAGAACGAATTAAGAAACCTTCCGGGTGAGTCATTATACTGTCCCCAAACAGGGGACATCATCAATTTTATTCCTGCCAAGTAGATCTGGACTAGAAGAATATGTGCTTGATCTACAACAAAAGCTGCCAGGCAAATGCCTGATACTACGTCCATCTCACCTGTTCTGCTCCCACCATGCTAATTGGCTTGCACTTGAAGAGGTGGGTGATGAATTTGGGAATGAAGGAGCTGTGGATAAAAAAGAAGTGACAAATTAGGCTTATTCTCTCTTGAGGAAAGAAATGCAAAAACTTTAAGGTTCCACGTATCTCCATGAAAAAACCTTTTTTAATGAAGAATCGAAGTGGACTCCACTGTTGCCCATTATCTTATTTTTCTTCTGAGTGAAGTCCTGGTTTTGTTTAGTTACATGAGGCCCTGGCAGGCCCGGGAAAACCGGATCCCATCCTAGACTCCCAGTGAACTCTAACTATTCTCAGCTCGTCAGAGCACAGCATTCCTTTGGTGACTGTTGTTTGTCCTGAGAGGGAATATGATCGAAGCTAGCCCAATCAGACTGGATGTAAGGGCTACAGGCACCGCACCTGGCTACTTTTTAATTTTTTTGTAGAGGCAGGATTTCGTTATGCTGCCCAGGCTGGGCTCAAACTCCTGGCTTCAAGCAGTCCTCCTCCCTTGGGCTCCGGAAGTGCTGGGATTACAAGCGTGAGCCACTGGGCCAGGCTTCCTTGATTCTTCATTCTCTGTCTCCAGCCTCATCCTGCTAAGCCCTGGCCTCCCTATGCTTCAACCCAACTGAGCCACTTGCAGATCCCAGGATTCTGGGGGCTATTTAATGCCTACACTGCTCCCTCGCCTGGACTGCCTTTCCTAGAAGGGGCTTGTGGGTCAGTACACACGCACCTCTCAGATCCTGTTCAACGGCGTCTCTAGAAAGCCTTTCTTCTGCTGCCTTCGCCATACTCTACATGGAGTCTGCAGGCCTCCACCCTCACATCTAACCTAGTTCATTATGCTCATTTGCTTACATGTCTATTTTGCTTCACCTGACTATTAAGGCAAACGAAGATGGGGGCCATGTTTATCAGGCCAAAACATTTAACTCTGGGTCTGAGACATAGGAGATGCTCAAGTGAATGCACATTGAGTAAATCATAAACTTTTTTTTTTTTTTGAGACAGAGTCTCGCTCTGTCACCCAGGCTGGAGTACAGTGGCACCATCTTGGCTCACTGCAACCTCTGCCTCCTGGGTTCAAGCAATTCTGGTGCCTCAGCCTCCTGAGTAGCTGGGACTACAGGCACGCACCAGCATACCCAGCTAATTTTTGTATTTTTAGTAGAGATAGGGTTTCACCATGTTGGCCAGGCTGGTCTCGAACTCCTGGCCTCAAGTGATCCTCTTGCCTCGGCCCCACAAAGCGCTGGGATGACAGGCGTGAGCCACCGCGCCCAGCCACCTACCACTTTTTGAATGTCAGCTTGGTATCAGCACTTTACCAGGAAGTTAATATGTGACTTCTCATTTTATCTTCCCAACCACTATTATGAGATTTGTCTCATTATCTCCTTGATTGAAGGGAGGAGGATCAGCTCAGTGGATGAGGGAAGTTGCTTGTGGTTCAACTGCAGTTTCAACCAGGCTGTGGATTTTGATGTCTCAACAGGAAAGGCTGCTATTGCTTAAGACAGCAAACGAGGTAAAAGGAAACATCTATGGTTTTGCAGGGGTGGGGTAGAAAGGAAGCTGAGGGAGAGGAAACTGGAGTCCGGAGATCGGATCTGGAGGTGGCTTGTGATCAGGAAGGAGAGTAAACAAGGGGCTATTTGGAAGGAATTCCTCAGTGCTGGAAACCAGAGCCAGACAAGCAACATGAAACTGAACTCATGACCAATGGCAGCTGTGCACACAGCGCTTTGTAACCTAAGTTGCTTCACATTAGAACATGCTCCGGACTGGGCATGGCAGCTCATGCCTATAATCCCAGCACTCTGAGAGGCCCAGGCAGGTGGACTGCTTGAGCCCAGGAGTTTGAGACCAGCCTGGGCAACATGGCAAAATCTCATCTCTACAAAAAATAGAAAAATGAGCTAGGCCGGGTGGCGAGCGCCTGTAATCCCAGCTATTCAGGAGGCTGAGGTGGGAGAATCACCTAAGCCCAGGAGATGGGGGCTGCAGTGAGCTGTGGTTGCACCACTGCACTCCAGCCTGGGTAACAGAGTGGGACCCTGTATCAAAAAAAAAAAAAAAAACCTTTGGCTGTGCCCCTGAACTGGCTCTCTATACTAGTCTACAGGTGGCGATGGGGGGAGTATGAGGACCTGACACACGTCCTGTGGGGAAAAAACCAAGCAATGTGCTGGGTAACTGCCAAGGGCTTCTCTGGGCCATCAGGGCGGTGGTGGCTGCTGCCCTTGACCAGGGAAGGGTCTCCTCACAAGCCCACCTCTGTTAAGCGGGATTTTAGCAGGATGAGAAGGCACCATGGATGAAAACAGAAAACCACTTCCTAGATCCCAGGCTGAATGATTACAGATGTGAGGGGGGGCATCCAATTCCCAGCGCACTCAACCTGGGCTTAGCAATGAAACTCAAGGGCTCTGAGAGAATGTGAGGCTGATGCTGGGAGATGCTGGGACTGGCTAAGTCAACCGACTCCTCCTTCACTTTAACGTAAGCTCAATCATATGACTGAGCTGGGAGACGCCGGGACTGGCTAAGTCAACGGACTCCTCCTTCGCTTTAATGTAAGCTCAATCATATGACTGAGCAGGGAGACGCCGGGACTGGCTAAGTCAACAGACTCCTCCTTCACTTTAATGTAAGCTCAATCATATGACTGAGCTGGGAGACGCTGGGACTGGCTAAGTCAACGGACTCCTCCTTCACTTTAACGTAAGCTCAATGAGACCCCGGAGCAGCCACCCTGGAGATTTTGAGTCACAGTAAATTTTTACAGAGACACTGCTTCTACCAGCAGTTATGGGGAGCGTCACGATGTGATTTATCAGCAACATTTCTAACACACTAATGAGCACCCAGAGAGTGAGGGAATTTCACCTCCTGGTCCATCTGCCATCTGCAAACATTAATGCCTCCCTGGAGAGTCCACTCTATCCTTTCTTGACAAACTAGAAAGTAAAGCTGACACCACAAGCCGCTCCATAATTGTTAGTCCTGAGGGGTTCATTTGTGAGGTACAGGGAAACTGGGAGAGATTGGGGGAAGACAGAAACTTGGAGTCCTGAATCACCAGCTGGGGCCTGGATGGGAACAACCCAAATACAGTAGCTTGGCCTGGGCTGACCCTCCTGAAGCCCTTCCCTGAGAAGTCTGCCAAAATGCTTGCTTGATAACTGGTCAGAGGAGACACTGACCCTCACCACCACCTGGTATCACGGAAAATGGTGCTAAGCCAGATGGTGATCGGCAAAGAACTAAACTATTTCCTCGCTTCAAAACTCAGGGCAGAAATGGCCACACACAAGACACAGCAGGAAGACACACGGCTCAGGGTGCACTCACCTGCCTTGGCCAGGGAGCTCCCTGGCTTGTGCATCCCAATTTCTAGTGCCTTCCTCGGACCAAGAGTGTGTCCAAGTATGAATAGATAAATTCTAGCAGCCATGGTAAAAAATACCAGGGGGAGGGAGGACAAGAAGGCTCAAAAGAAACAGAACCGATGGCTCCTACCCTTAAGAGGCATTTATTAAGCCAGTCAGAGAAACAAAATGCATATATGAAATCCCTGAAAAAGAATTTTAATTATCCAATCCTGGGCAAGGAGAGCTTATGCCTGCACAGTTCAAAACAACAGTAGGCCCCATTCATTTTTGTTTGCCTTGACGTGGCTGGCAATTGTACTGCTGTTACTGTTGCCTATGACTTTAAGTAGCAGATTTAGTTTTATGATTATGCTTCTTTTGTGTACAAATTAAAATCAGTACTGCAGGCACCAGAACAAACCGCAGCTGGATGGTGGGGACACTCAAATTGTGAGGATGCTGGTGGGAAGTATGGTTTTAAAAACAACCCAGTTGAGTATGACACTGAAATGGCGGCCACACGTCACTGTACATTTGTCCAAACCGAGGGAATGTCCAGCGCGACGTCAGAGTCCGGGTGATAATGACGTGTTGATGCAGGTTCATCCACTGTAACGAATGTGCCACTTTGTGTGTGGGGAGGTGTCGGTAATGGGAAGACTGTGCATGTTGGGGGGGTCAGGTACACGGGAAATCTCTGTGCTTGCTGCTTAATTTGGCTGTGAACCTGAAACTGTTCTAAAACATAAAGTCTATTAAAAAGAACAAGAACCCAGAGATGAGCACGCCCCAGGACTTACTTTGCAAATTTAACGCAGAACTGAGTGAAGTACTTGCGTGTGGAAGCCAGGTTGTCACGGATGATGGGGACGTTCTGCTTGATGTGCAGAATGACAGAGGTGACGTAGGGGCTCTGGTCACCAACGTGCTCCACGTTCTGCCACTGCATCTGAAAGGGAGAAAGGATGAGGCGTTGAATCCCTCGCAGGAGAACGGTGTCGCCTGTTACTGGGGAAGGGAGGGGCTGGAGTGGAAGTCAGGTCACAGCTTTGGTATCCCAGGAATCAGGCCCTTTTGTCCTGGGGAGTTTCTTATTCGTTCTGTAGGGACTGATACTCAGGACAAATGCGAGTGTGCCCAGCGGACCCGACAGTGAGGTGTGACCCAGACCCTTTCCTTTTCCTGCCTTGTCCCCGACCTGCCTGAAACAGCCTTCCCTTCTCAGCTAAGCTACCCACTCGTAAAGGATCCTGTTCTCCTGCCGAGTGCCCCACAGCAGGGGACTGCAGCAGAACGGGGAGGGACACCGACTCCCAAGCTGACCGGCAGCCTGGGAGATGAGAGAGGTGGCTGGACTAAGTGACATGCAACCTGGAGGGGAATTCACAGACACCTTTCTCTCCAGTCAACTGGGAGGAGTTTGGGATTCTTTAACACAGAAAACTAGAAATGATATGACACGTGGGGATGTTGCTTCAAAATAATATGAAGTTACCGGGAAGAGGTGCAGATGAAATAAGATCGTGAAGCTGAGTGACAGGTACATAGAGGCTGACCACACTGTTTCCTCTACTTTTGAATATATTCAAAAATTTCCATAATAAAACACTTGAAGAGGTATGCGTGTAGAATCTTACACTCCTAAAACCTTTGGGATTATGTCAGGATTTCAATAAGGGGAAGGGAAAGAGAATCTCTGGCAAACACTAGGGTGGACCAGAGGGTAAGATGGAGACGTGGGGAACAGGCCAGGAGCCAGGCGCAGGGGAGAGAACATTGCTGAGAGCACCGAGGTGGTCCCTGAACAAGCTGTGAACAAAAGTGACAGACCTGCTTCAACCTGAGCCCTAACGACAGGCTCTGGAAGACACCTATAGCAAACTGGCGGGATTCTTGGACTACGTGGCACTTGGCAACATTGAGTCCTGGGAACAGAAGGAGGCAATGCTGCAGTGTGCCATCCCCCAAGGGTGCATGCAGGAGATGGGTGCAGCACCAGCTCCTAGCCTGCCCCGGGCTGGCAGGGAAGGGCATTCTAATCCCGAAGAGTGGGAATGGTCTGGAGGGTTCTGCTGAGTCAGCCTTTCACAGTGGAGCTGGACGGTCTGGAGGGCTCTGCTGAGTCAGCCTCTCACAATGGAGCTGGATGGTCTGTTAAAGAGATCCTAAGCCAAACACAAACCATATAATATGTTCATAGAAGGAAGTCAGTAGTTCTGAGGCCCTGATGTCTCTGGCAAGAAAACACTATTTTTACAGAGCTCTTGGGGAAAGGAAAAAATCAATACTGAGAGAGCTTGTTTAAAAGAATCACATCGTACGTGGATGATTCTCCAGCTGTGGGAAGCTCAAATGACTCCTAATGTTTTTTCAAATCAGCGGATATTTGTATTCTAAAAGCTTTAGGGATGTGTACACACAGAACCACAGAAAAGCAGGAAGGGACCTCCATCTTCATTTCACAGATAAGAAAGCCAAGGCCCAGAAACATGAAGAGTCTTATGCAAGGTTTCATAACCAGGCTCCACACAGGAAAAAGAACTCTAATTTATTACTGGGAAAAAACAGAAACAAACAATGAAGAAACAGTAGAAAGGTCTAATATGAAGTGACTTAACATTCTAATGCTTTGGTTATGTGAAATGTTTTCCTCATTATCTTTTATCTTACGCAAGAGGCTTCTTTTTCCATTTGATTTTGAAGATTTGACCCATCCAAACAATGAGCATCCTGGGTGATTTTAAATGAGCTCATAGGGTGAGGCCAAAATTGACAGGTGCTGTCAGCATTTCCTGGGCTCTGCAGCAGGACTCGGAGCAGAATGTTCTGGGTAGACACAGCGAACTGGGAGGGCTTGATGCCCCCAAAGCCAATCATGTCCATAGCAATGACTGTTACTTTCCAAGCTGGCAGCTTTGTATATTTCAAAATCTCAAAACGGTTTATCAACAATAATCTAAACATGACAGCCCTCCATGAAAGAAGGTGGCGACGTGCTCTGTCACCAGTTACAAAGCAGCTCTGAAGCAAGACCAAGCAGGGGCCTGGGATTTCTTCAACTTCCCACTGGTTATTCCGCATGCTCGTCACCGAACTCCTCTTGATGATCACTGGCCAAGTCAGTATGTGCCCACATTTGGAATATATGTGAAAAGAGCTGATTTGCTTTAATACTCTGGTCAGTCATGACTCCATTGGTCAAGCTAAAAGAAGTATTAGCAAAGGCCAAGTGGATTCATGATTTTAAACTTAAGTCAGCTTAGTCAACTAAGAAAGTGATTTAAAGTACTAGAAAACAATAAAAGGTGACCTTACCTTTAGTATTTTTTAAAAATGTGGCACACGCCTATAGTCTCAGCTACCAGGGAGGCTGAGGCAGGAGGGTCACTGGAGCCCAGAAGGTTGGGGCTGCAGGGAGCTGTGATTGTACCACTGCACTCCAGCCTCAGATGGCTGATGCTTGCCATCATCCCCCATGGGTGACTGAAGGTTTGGGTCACAACCTGAACTGCCCAGGATAGCTACATTAAGACCGAACTTCGCAGGTCCCTTTGCATGGCCCTAAACATACGTCGTCTCATTTACTATTCATACATGATCTCACTAAGTTCTCACAACAACCTTATAGATGAGGAAATTCAAAAAGCTCAAAGAGATTTGGTATCTTGCACAAAATTTCACAGCTGGGACAACCACGTCTATCTAAAGCCCAAACCAGGTCTATCTAAAGCCCAAACCAAGTCTATCTAAAGCCCAAACCCGGTCTATCTAAAGCCCAACCAGGTCTATCTAAAGCCCAAACCCCACAACAAGGTGCTTGCTAGACAACTTCCCCCCCGACCCGCCCCCGCCACCCTGCCCAAAAAAAGAATAAAAGCACTTAACTAGGCCTTCGTTAAAGGTAAGGCCTGTTTCTCAAGGAGACGCTAATGAAACATAGTGATCAAGCAAAGGACTCTTTATTTTTCATTTTTTTTTGAGACAGAGTCTCTGCTGCCCAGGCTGGAGTGCAGTGGTACAATCATAGTTCACTGCAGCCTTGACTTCCTGGGCTCCAGCAATCCTCCCAGCTCTGCCTCCCAAGTAGCTGGGACCACAGGTGTACACTACCATGCTCAGCTAATTAAAAAAATATATTTTTTTCTTTTTTACTTTTTGTAGAGACAGGGGTCTCACCGTGTTGCCCAGACTGGTCTTGAACTCCTGGGTTCAAGCAATCCTCCTGCCTCAGCCTCCCAAAGTGCTGGGATTACAGGTGTGAGCTACCACGCCTGGCCCAAAGAACTCTTTCAAAAAAGGAAACAAACAGTACCTTGCATTGGAAGAACAAACATCATGAAAAGCCATCAGTAGAAATGAGACCTCAACTTTTCCAGGTAAACTTTTCATTTGACATTTAGAAGTTACCCCTCTACACTTAAAATTGTTTCTTGTTGTGCTTTTTGTTTTGGGGGCTTGGGTAGAGTTGAATACAGATGGCGTTCAACTGGTACTACTATCTAAATGAGACACAGTTTGAAGACAGTAAGAATGATGAGTGCCTCCGGGACCTAGTTTAACCACCACAAGAAGAGACTGCAGGGCCCAGAGTGTCCCCAGAGCCCAGCTTCTGCGGCCTGGGCAGGAAGTATGTGCTCTGACTGACGCTCCACAGTGGGGCTGGGGGGTCAGCACTCTTTCTAGAGAGAGTCTACTGTAGCAGGAACTTTGACCAGAGAACAGCGCTCCACAACTAGCTTCAGTGGATCTTGTTTTTTCCTATTGCTATAGGAAGCTTGGAAAGAGGTTTCTTGAAAATGTGAATACTTAAATTCCTACTTCTTCACTGGATTAGAGAGACACAGAGCATAGACTCAGACAGCTGGGCTCTGGGAACATTTCAGGCAACTGAAGTCTCATAACTGAGGCTGCCGGGGTGTTGGCCTCAAGCTGTAGACTTTACTCAGGCACACACGTACACGCTCACTCTCACTCTGATGCCTGGTGGGGCTTTCACTCCCGCAGCATCTGCTATATTTATAGGTACCTTCGGCAAGTGCAGCAGGGCACTGAGCATCAGGTGGAGACCAAAGAGATGAAGGAATGTTTATCAACCGCCTGCCACACACTGAAGGAATGTTTGTCAAGCATCTACCATGCACCAGGGGCTGAAGGAATGTTTATCAAGCACCTACTACGCACTGAAGGAATGTTTATCAAGCACCTACCATGCACCAGGCACTGAAGGAACGTTTATCAAGCACCTACCATGCACCAGGGGCTGAAAGAATGTTTATCAAGCACCTACTACGCACTGAAGGAATGTTTATCAAGCACCTACCACGCACTGAAGGAATGTTTATCAAGCACCTACCACGCACCAGGTGCTGAAGGAACGTTTATCAAGCACCGACTACGCACTGAAGGAATGTTTATCAAGGACCTACCACGCACCGGGCGCTGAAGGAATGTTTATCAAGCACCTACCACGCACCAGGGGCTGAAGGAATGTTTATCAAGCACCGACTACGCACTGAAGGAATGTTTATCAAGGACCTACCACGCACCGGGCGCTGAAGGAACGTTTATCAAGCACCTACCACGCACTGAAGGAACGTTTATCAAGGACCTACCACGCACCAGGGGCTGAAGGAATGTTTATCAAGCACGTACTACGCACTGAAGGAATGTTTATCAAGCACCTACCACGCACTGAAGGAACGTTTATCAAGCACCTACTACGCACCAGGCGCTGAAGGAATGTTTATCAAGCACCTACCATGCACCAGGGGCTGAAGGAACGTTTATCAAGCACCTACCACGCACCAGGGGCTGAAGGAATGTTTATCAAGCACCTACCACGCACTGAAGGAACGTTTCTCAAGCACCTACTACGCACTGGGCGCTGAAGGAACGTTTATCAAGCACCTACCACGTAACAGGTGCTGTGCCTGACATTTTCACATGACCTTGCTGCCTGATGAATGAATCATGTAGTGAAAGAGGTATTATTACTCCTCTTTGTGAGTAATAATAAATGAGGATGAAACAGGATTGAGGACAGCGAGTGACCTGCCTAAGGAAGCGTAACTGCTAAGTTAGCAGGAAAGGTCATTAAGATGGTACTTAAGATGCTGAAATTGAGTCAGCCAGTCTGACTTCTGACACTGTGCAACCTTCTAAAGGGGTGACCGGGACAAGTCATCTAATTTCTCTGAGCCTCAGTATTCTCGTCTATAAAATTGGGATGATGGTAACATCTATAATCTATTACTGAAAGATAACGCATGGAATGCTCTTAACACAGTGTCTCGCAGCACGTATAAATTCCACAGTAAATTTTAGCTACTGTTATAATTTTAAGAATACTTGCACTATCACTAAAAATCACTAAATTTCGATAACTGATAATTATCAATTAATTCAGATATGTATCAATTAATTGAAATTATGGTGATTTAAGTTTTATTCTTTTTTTCAAAAAAATCTGACCGGGCGCGATGGCAACATGCCTGTAATCCCAGCAGTTTGGGAGGCCAAGGCAGGTGGATCACTTGAGGCCAGGAATTCGAGACCAGCCTGGCCAACACTGTGAAACCCCGTCTCTACCAAAAATACAAAATTAGCCGGGTGTGGTGGCAGGCACCTGCAATCCCAGCTACTTGGGAGGCTGAGGCAGGAGAATCACTTGAACCTGGGAGGCGGAGGTTGCCATAAGCACAAATCACGCCACTGCACTCCAGCCTGCCGGATAGAGCGAGACTCTGTCAAAAAAAAAAAAAAAAAATCTGCATTTTTCTAAAATGGAAGTGATTTAGTTTTGTCATAATGGGAAAAATCTTTTTTATGAAAAAGAAAGCTGTGTCTTGATTCTAGGTAGAACTTGACAGTTTCTTAGTCATGGCTTTCTGTGGGCCTTCTGAAACAGATGTGCATTTTAATGACTGAGGAAAATGAAAATGAGAACAGACTTGTCTTGATTCAACGTAGAAGTGAACTTGAGGATTTCTTAGCTGTGGCTTTCCATGGTCCTTCTGAAACAGATCTGCATTTTAATGACTGAGGAAAATGAGAACAGACTTGAGAACTCTTCTACCTGTTTCAAAGTGTCTTTGGGGGATTATAACGCAGCCTCCTAAATGGGTACATGTTCACAATCCTGAAACCTAATATAAATTATGTGCCAGACGGTAAGAAAATTTAATTTATTCAGTTTCTGTTTTTTCCTAAAACTACCATTAATAGGCAAAACACTAGGTGTGTTTGCTTCTGAACAGAGACTTGGATTTATTTACCTGAGTGATGTGAGCAGCCCTAGGAAAAGGCACGGAGAGAGGCGGGGACCATGAGACCAACAGCCCCTGCTAGGGAGCCCACGGCTCTCTATCCTACGTACAGGGGCATAACCAGACATACTCATTTCTAAGGATTTGTAGGATTTAAATCTAAAAGATAGAATCCTTTGTATTTCCACCAAAACACTCCAAATAACTACTTTTTCCAGAATCAGGAGAACTAGTTTTACTTCTAGCTTCACTATTATAAGTTATATGGCTTTGGGCATAATATGAAGAAGAGAAGGAAGGAAGGAAGGAAGGAAGGAAGGAAGGGAGGGAGGGAGGGAGGGAGGGAGGGAGGGAGGGAAGGAGGGAAGGAGGGAGGGAAGGAGGGGAGTTTGGAGGGAGGGAAGGGAGTCTGGAGGGAGGGGAGGGGACAGGGGAAGGGAGGGAGAGAGGAAAGAAGGAAGGAAGGGAGAGTGGGAGGAAGGGAGGAACGGAGAGAGGGAGGAAGGGAGGGAGGGAGGGAGTGAGGAAGGCAGGGAGGGAGGGAGGGAGGAAGGGAGGAAGGAAGGAAAGAAGATACCAGAAGGAAAGTTCATTAGTTTTCAGGGAAAAATATTCAACGCAGATTGGAATATGTGGGTTGGCTGTTCAACACATCTTCTCCACTGTAGAAAAGTCCTGGTGTCAGATCAAGAAAAGCTGGAGATGAATATACACCATGATGATGGTGAATGCTTGAAGAACTCATAATCATATCAGCATGAACACTCGTGTGGACCCACCAGGACTGGGCACATGCTGACAGAAATGTATCAACTAATTGAAATTATGGTGATTTAAATTTTATTCCTTTTTTCAAAAACATCTGGTCGGGCACGATGGCAACATGCTTGCAATCCCAGCAGTTTAGGAGGCCGAGGCTCTTCCACTTTTAGGCAGGTTACTTAAGCTGATTTTGCCTCAGTTGCCACATTTGCCAAAAAGACTTACTCACTCTCTCTGTATGGCATGCCACAATCCTGCATAAAGAGGCACTGTGGTGGCGTGATCACAGCTCACTGCAACCTCTGCCTCTCAGGCTCAAGTGACCTTCCCACCTTAGCCTCCCAAGTAGCTAAAAGATCTGGAGCAGGTGATTTAATGTCTCTGTTTCAGCTTCTTTATCTGTGAAAAGGGGAAATAGCATAGCCATCTGATGAATTTATTGTTAGAATGAAATTAATTGGGTTCCAATTCCTGGTAAGTGCTCAGTAAATAGTAACTTATTATCAACTCATACAGGTTATCTAAGAAAATAAGCAATATGGAGGCCAGGCACAGTGGCTCACACCTGTAATTCCAGCATTTTGGGAGGCCGAGGTGGGAGGATCACTAGAGCTCAGGAGTTTGAGACTGGCCTGGGCAACATAGCAAGACCTCATCTCTACTAAAAATCAAGAAAATTAGCCAGGTGTGGTGGTGTGCGCCAGTAGTACCAGCTATTTGGGAGGCTAGGGTGAGAGGATCACTGGAACCCAGGAGGTCAAGGCTGCAGTAAGCTATGATTATGCCACCGCACCCAAGCCTGGGCAACAGAGTGAAGAAATTTTTTTATGAAAGAAAGAAAATAACACTATGGGAAGGAAACGTGGTCTAGAAGTTAATTTTGCTGTAACTCATCAGCAACACTACTGGAATCTCAAAGTCAGAGTTTCAGAGGGACCACCTGACTTTCATCACATTTTCCTCCCCCTTCTTCGGCCTGGCCTGCAGAAGGCTGCACCTGCATGTGAATCTAGCAAACTACCGCTCTGCATTTCCCTCTCCTTGTCTAGCAGCAGGACTCAGGGCCACACCCCCGCGGGCTCGTATTCCTTCATTCCCACATCTCTTCAATCGGCTCCAGGATGCCACCTGCTGAAGTCAGAAGCCCTTCTGCTATCAGGTGCCATTGAGGAGCATCACTCCATCCTCAACAGCACCAGCTATGGACCTAAAGGTTTCAGGGATTCTATGACCCCACCGTCTCTCACAAAGTTGTCCAAGTTTCCTACTCTACATCTACCAGCTCCACCTGGCTACCTCTGCTCAGTAGAGTTATCTATGTCTCACTTGTTTACCAATCTTTGGTCAAAAGTGTGTTTGTGGTCCTTTGGTTCTTTCTCTCCCACTCCCTGGCTCCCTCTTTACCTTCAAAGTCATTCAGGGAATACTACAGTTAAGCAAGTACTGTGCCATGCCACGGGTTTCCAAAATGAATAAGACACAGCCCTCAAGTTGTTCAAAGTTTAATAGGGAAGACAAAGACATAAAAATGATTACATAACAAAGCAGAAAGGTAGTCTAGGTACTATGGTGTCTTGAAAGAGAAATAAATATGCTCTGGCTGAGGCAAGAAATGCTGACATTGTAAGGGACCTAGAAGAGCCAAAACAGTGTTGAAAAAGAACAAAGTTGGAAGACTCATACTTCTTGATTTCAAAGATTACTACAAAGCTATTATAGCCAAACAGTGTGGTACTGGCCTGAGGGTGGACATACAGATAGATGGAATAGAACTGAGAGTCCAGAAATAATCCCACACATCTATGGTTAACTGATTTTTTACGAGGGTATCAAGATCATCCAATGTGAAAAGAATAGTCGTTTCAACAAATAGTGCTGGGAAAGCTGAGTATCCTTTCAGCAAAAGAATGCTGCTGAATCTTTGCCTCACACCATATGCAAAAATTAACTCGAAATGGATTGAAGACCTACATTTTTTTCCTTTTTTTCTTTTTTGTGAAGACCTAAATTTCTTAGAAGAAACCACAGAGTAAATCTTTATGATTCTGGATCAGGCAATGGTATCTTAGATATCTCACACACACACACACACACACACACACACACACACACACACACACACGATATACCAACTTCAGAAAATCAAGGACATTATCAAGAAAGTGAAAAGGCAACCCACCCACAGAATGGGAGAGAATATTTACAAATTTCATATCTGATAAGGGGTCTAGTATCCAGATATAAAAAGAACTTTTACAATTCAACAACAGAAAGACAACCCAATTTTAAAATGGGCAAAACATTTAATTCTCATTTCTTCAAAGAGAATATACAAATCGCCAGTAGCATCTGAGAAGGTGATCAACATATTAGTCATGCAAGGAATGCAAACTGTAATCACAATGAGATACCACTTCACACCCACGAAAATGGCTATAATTAAAAAAGGAAAACAAGTGTGGGAGAAGATGTGGAGAAACTGGATTCCTTACACTTTGCTGTGGAAAGGTACAACGGCACAGTCACTTCAGAAAACAGTGTGGCACTTTCTCAAAATGTTAAACATAAATTGACCATACGGCTCTTTCAGTTCCATTCCTTAGGTCCCTTAGATCCTTTTTTTTTTTTTTTTTTTTTTGAGACAGAGTCTCCCTCTGTCACCCAGGCTGGAGTGCAGTGGTGCAATCTTGGCTCACTGCAATCTCCACCTCCCAGGTTCAAGCCATTCTCCTGTCTCAGCCTCCCAAGTAGCTGGGATTACAGGCACGCACGCTACCACACCCGGCTAATTTTTGTATTTTTATTAGAGACAGGGTTTCGCCATGTTGGCCAGGCTGGTCTTGAACTCCTGACCTCAGGTGATCTGCCCACCTCGGCCTCCCAACGTGCTGGGATTACGGGCATGAGCCACCACGCCTGGCCTTTAGGTACATATTGAAGAGAACTGAAAACATGTTCACACGAAAAATTGTACATGAATGTTCACAGCATTATTCAAAATTAGAAAGTAGAAATAACTCAAACGTCCAATAGACGAATGAATAAACAAAATGTGGTCTATCCATATGATGGAATGTTACTCAGCCACAAAAAGGAATGGAGTGCTGACACATGCCCCACCATGCACATGCCCTGAAAACACTACGCTAAGTGAAGAAAGCCAAGCACAAGATGTCCCACATGCCATATGATTCTAGGTATGCAAAATGTCAGGAGGGGCAAATCTATAGAGACAGAAAGTAGGCTAATGGTTGTCAGGGGAATGTAGAATGACTGCTGAGAGGTACGGGGTTTCTTTTTGGGGTAATGAAGATGTTCTGGAATTAGATGGTGGTGGTGGTTTCATGACATTGTGGATATACTAAAAACAACTAAATTGTACACTTTATTTATTTATTTATAAAATAGAGTCTCACTCTGTCACCCAGGCTGGAGTGCAGTGCTGCAATCTTGGCTCACTACAACCTCGGCCTCCCAGGTTCAAGAGATTCTCCTACCTCAGCCTCCTGAGTAGCTGGGACTATAGGTGTGTGCCATCATGTCCAGCAAATTTTTTGTGTTTTTAATAGAGACAGGGTCCCACCATGCTGGCCTCGAACTCCTAACCTCAGAT
The DNA here is from genome assembly GCF_000001405.40 of Homo sapiens. Taxonomy (NCBI): domain Eukaryota; kingdom Metazoa; phylum Chordata; class Mammalia; order Primates; family Hominidae; genus Homo; species Homo sapiens. The sequence continues at coordinate 107,345 of NW_017363817.1, forward strand.
GATTTGCACTCCTCAGCCTCCCAAAGGAGTGAGCCACTGCTCCTGGCCAACTGTATACTTTAAAAGGGTGAATTCTGTGGTATATGAATTATACCTCAGGTTTTTAAATGGGGACAGACATTTGAACTTGATCTTAAAGGACGTGCTCCTTGGGCAGACGATAGCAGGAAGAAAATTCTGGGCAGAAAGAATAAAATGAGAAAAGGCATGGAAGCCGCAAAAGAGCAATATGCATTCAGGGAAGTAAACATGGCTGCGACTGGAGAACAGGGCACATACTCCGGAGTGAGCGGCAGAAACTGACCTAGCAGTGGAGTAAAGAGATAGATAATGAAAGCTCTATATGCCAACCAAGGAAGAGGCCATGGGATGCCTTCCATGAGAATGAGGTCTCCCAGGAAAATGACTTAACCAAGTTGCCAGGCTCAATCCCTCTTGTCAAGGAAGTCTCCTTCCGTCAACTCAGAATCATCCAATGACTACACTCCACTTTGGCCAGCCAACAGTCCTTCTGGAATCATCCAATGACTACACTCCACTTTGGCCAGCCAACAGTCCTTCTGGAAATATCCAACGACTACACTCCACTTTGGCCAGCCAACAGTCCTTCTGGAATCATCCAACAACTACACTCCACTTTGGCCAGCCAACAGTCCTTCTGGAATCATCCAACGACTACACTCCACTTTGGCCAGCCAACAGTCCTTCTGGAAATATCCAACGACTACACTCCACTTTGGCCAGCCAACAGTCCTTCTGACATTTATAAGATACACTTATTTACAGTATTGGTTGTTCTCAGTTTTCTTCCCAGCAGGGTATAGACTCCTTGAGGACAGTCTCGTTTCCAATCTTAACTCTGTCAGTCCAAGTACAGGAGTAGCCTGAGGAGCCCCTGGGATGTTGAATGAGATTGGCAGTTTGAACCAAGCTCTTTAGCTTCCCTAACCTCTCTTTACTCATGTTTTCACCCTGTTTGAACTGCCCTACTAATCACAAACTCATTCAGAATTTCGCCCTCATCTGTTTCAAACACCACTTCCTTACGAGGGCCTTCTTTGCCTCCCCACCTGGATATGAACTCCTCCCTCTTTAAAAAGGGTGTATTTTGTACTTTTCTTATGGCACTGATTTCCTCATCTCTTATATTAAAGTTACTGGGTATTGCTGTCATCTTACACATCTCTTGCCCTCAGCTACTGGAATCTAAACACCTTAGCCAAGGGTTTATGCCTTTCTGAGCCTTGCAGCTCCCAGCACTGTGCTGGGCAGGGTCTGAACTGAACTGTTTAACCAGCAGCAAAAATGATAGAATCAGAGACAGAAATAACCATTATCACAAAAGTTTTTTTAAATCCTAGAAGAAACTACACAAAACAGGATGCAGGCATCAAGAACACAGAATGTGTGTTGAATCAATTTGTGACCACTTGGCTTGTTTATTTCCATCACATGGATTTTATTTTGCTAGAACTCCAGAAGACTCAGACAAAAAGTAATGGCCTCCCAGCTGCTGCGTTCCCAAGTCTGTGGTTTTCCTATGATATAAACAAAGGACTCTGGAGGCACGGTCTCTGTTCGTATTTGCTGGTGTGGGCACGGGGCAGAAGTGGAGGGTGGGACGGGGCAGGGTTTGAGGGAAATCCACCGAACGAACCGACAGTTCGTATAAGCAACACTTGCAGTGTTAAACCCCTTCCAACCGTGATTTTATTGAAAAAAAAAAATCCCACTCTTCCTTTGGTGAATGTGAAAATTCTTTCGGCAGCTGCATTCCGATCTGAAGTGTGTGGCAGTTCAGGAGAGATGGCAGCTGGCACAGATCCCACTCAGGATGTAGAGAATGCTTACCAGCAGCGAGGGGATCATGAGAGCTGGCAAAACGAATCCTCTAAGCAGATGGACTGGCCTCACTTTGCCTGCTCAGAGTGTTCTCCTGTGAATGCTGAGAATACTGGAAGTACCCATCAGCACCGGACTGCTGAAAAGATCAGCTTTTTGAATAAAACTGTGACATCAGCTATTTTAGGACTTGCCACTTCAGTTCATAAAACCCTAAAGCCTACATTTTGGTTTTAATCTTATTTTTGTTAAATATTTACAATCTACTGCAAAACCAAATTCAGACCAAATGTCTGCTTACACAACCTTGTGACATGGTCATTCCTCCTGACAAGAGGGAGAGGGAACTAACATTTAATGAGCATTTACTATGTGCCTGGCACTAGACCCGCCCGTTCCATGTTTCATCCTCACAGCAATGCTGGGAGGCAGAGATCCACAGTTCACTTGGGGTATGTGGGCCCAGATGATGTCACGTTGGCCCAGACAGGTGAATCATTTGCTCAACACCCCAAAGGAAACCCTGGAGGAGTTAGGTCTGTCTGACTCTAAAGTTAGTGTTCCTCCCACTGCCCTCTGGTACTGGCCAGTATAACCTAGATAAATTGTTTCTCCAGAATTTGCTACAAGAGCCTATGACTCTAGAGCAGACATTGGCAAACTTTTTCTGTAAAGGGCCAGACAGTAAATATTTAATTTTTTTAGCTTTGTGGGCTAGTCTCTGTTGCAATGGCTCAATTCTACCACTATATTGCAAAAAGGCAGCCATAGATAATACATAAATAAAGGAACATGGCTGTATTCCAATAAAACTTTATTTTCAAATACAAGCAGTGGGCCAGATCTGGTTCCCAGGCTCTAGTTTGCCAACCCCTGCTCTACAAAGTTCTAGAGTTGCAGCTGCATGTTACTTGGGTTTAGCATAACAAAGGCCCATTTCCAACTTAATTAACAAAAATGAATCTCCCATATTCAAGACTACAAGAGAGATAAAAGAGGGGGTGAAAGACATGGTCTGTGCACTTACGGAATTGACATTCATTTGGGAAAAAAAGGCATAGGCACATAAAAGTCAAAAATAGGAAGATGAGGTAGCGCTCAGTAAGTGCCAAAGGAGGAGACTTGAGGGCCAAGGGCTGACTGATGGGCCACCACGATATTAGAAAACCAGAGTTCACAACCTGATCAAATACTCTTACATTGGCACCAGAGCTCAGAAGGAGTTGGAAAAACCTCTCAGTGGGCAAGAATGAAGAATGAGTCAGAAGTTACTACTTTAAGCACTAATGAAAACACCCATTCTGGTGAGACCACACCAAGGTTTTTAGCATGTGTCAGATACTAATCAAAGATAATACGTAAATAAAGGACATGGCTGATTGGTTTTTAATTAACAAAAATGAATCTCCCATATTCAAGACTACATGAGAGATAAAAGAGGGGTGAAAGACATGGTCTGTGCACTTACGGAATTGACATTCATTTGGGAAAAAAAGGCATAGGCACATAAAAGCCAAAAATAGGAACATGAGAGGAACATGAGGTAGCGCTCAGTAATTAAAAATGATCCATCTCAGCTGGGCACTGTGGCTCATGCCTGTAATCCCAGCACTTGGGGAGGACTCGGTGGGAAGACTGCTTGACGCCAGGAGTTCAGGACCAGCCTGGGCAACATAGCAAGACTCTTAGCTCTACAAAAAATTTAAAAAGTAGTTGGACACAGTGGCATGCACCTGTGGTCTCAGCTACTTGGGAGGCTGAGGCAGGAGGACTGATGAGCCCAGAGGGTCAAGGCTGCAGGGAGTCATGGTGGCACCACTGCACTCCAGCCTGAGTGACAGAGAGAGACCCTGTCTCTAAAAAAATATAAATAAACCACAGACAACATCTCCTTTAGACTCATCAAACACATTTACTTCGTCTCTTTTTTTTTTGCCATCCTCCAATACTGTGATGCTCTGTCTCATTCTAAAAGGACAAGCAACTGAACTGACGCAGGTGCGACACTAACTGAGTGCTTTCAGGAACTCCGGGGCCTCTCCATTCTCCTCAGCTGATCCTTTACGCTCCGATGAGCCTGGAGAAGCTACAGACAAGGGCCAGTAGAAGCCACCTTGGGCTGCTCTCGTTAGTTTGTAGGATGCCATTTCCCAAGACCTTACCTTGCTCATGGCAGTCAGGGCAGGATCACAGGCAGCATCCAGATCCTGAACCAGCAGCTGAATACTGCTGGAGATGACGCTGCAAATCAAACAAATCACTGTGGTCACCCTTTCAAACAACGGCCGTCTGAATGACTGACACTCAGGCCCCTGTGTAAAAATCAGATTCATCATTTCACTGGCAAAGTTTGAGCTTTAATTAATGACAGCGGAGGAACAGCTTGGCTCTTTCTTCATGTCCTGGTTTTATCTGGGTGTGTCCTCACCCAGTCAGGATATAGAATCCCACGGTCAGTCTCCCTAATCACCACCCCAGTATCCCTGTTCACATCTTCCTCCCAAAGAACCTGCTTCCCAAAAATGTTTAAGTCAGAACTGAAGAAAATAAAAAGCTAAGAAAAGTGGAGGAAATAAACTAAGAAGAGAATTTTGATTCTTCGTCAATAAGTGGTTGATGTGAAAGCTGAGAATTTTGATTCTTCGTCAATAAGTGGTTGATGTGAAAGCTGAGAATTTTGATTCTTCGTCAATAAGTGGTTGATGTGAAAGCTGAGGCCTGGCCCATGCCTGTCTCATTTAATGGCAGTGGAACAGAAACTGACCACAACAAAAATACCACAAGGTCCTAACAGGGAAAGAAGACTTTACTGTTAGAACTTCCTGGACGGACCTCCCCTGCCACTCCCACACTCTTATTCCCTCGGTGGCTAAATTTAAGCCATTTATACTTTATACTTTAAAACACTGAAGGTAGGCCTGGCCTTCTGTGGGTTTAGGTGGGGGCAGATCAGCAATGGCCAAGGGAGAATGTCTTCTCTGTGGTTATTCTTCACAGTGAGACAATGAAGACCCCATAAGCTAAAAGAGCAACTGCATCTGAGGAGGTACAATGGCAGCCCAGTTCTGAAGCTTCTTCTTAGTGGCCAGTAGGGACTCATTCTGACCCAACAGAAACCTCTTAGGTTCTGTAGTGACTAAAGCCAACAGCCTGAGGCACGCTGCTGTGTAGTGGAGAAAGGGCAGGCAGCGAGCAAGTGTGTACAAGGTATATACGTGCCGCACGCTGCTGTGTAGTGGAGAAAGGGCAGGCAGTGAGCAAGCGTGTACAAGGTATATACGTGCCGCACGCTGCTGTGTAGTGGAGAAAGGGCAGGCAGTGAGCAAGCGTGTACAAGGTATATACGTGCCACATGCTGCTGTGTAGTGGAGAAAGGGCAGGCAGCGAGCAAGTGTGTACAAGGTATATACGTGCCACATGCTGCTGTGTAGTGGAGAAAGGGCAGGCAGTGAGCAAGCGTGTACAAGGTATATACGTGCCGCACGCTGCTGTGTAGTGGAGAAAGGGCAGGCAGTGAGCAAGCGTGTACAAGGTATATACGTGCCACATGCTGCTGTGTAGTGGAGAAAGGGCAGGCAGCGAGCAAGCGTGTGCAGGGTACATACGTGCTGCACGCTGCTGTGTAGTGGAGAAAGGGCAGGCAGCCAGTAAGTGTGTGCAGGGTACATACGTGCTGAACGTGTCCATCTCTCCAGTCAGATTGATTCGTTCAATCAGACTTACATCCACTTTTTCTTTGAGTTTTTCTTCTAGCTGTTGAAAAACAGAAGAAATGGATGCACGGTTAATGATTATCCAAAGAAGTACCATCACAATAATAGTTAACATTTACTGCGTTTGATGATTCAGGCATAATTCCATACACTTTTTTTTTTTTTTTTTTTGAGACTCGCTCTTGTTGCCTAGGCTGGAGTGCAGTGGTGCGACCTCGGCTCACTGCATCCTCTGCCTCCTGGGTTCAAGCAATTCTCCTGCCTCAGCCTCCCGAGTAGCTGGGACTACAGGCGTGCGCTACCACACCCGGCTAATTTTATATTTTTAGTAGAGATGGGGTTTCACCATGTTGGTCAGGCCGGTCTCAAACTCCCAACCTCAGGTGACCTGCCTGCCTTGGCCTCCCAAAGTGCTGAGATTACAAGTGTGAGCCACTGTGCCTGGCCAATCTTACAACCTTATGAGGAAGATTCTATTATTATCATCGTCATTTTACAGATCAGAAAAATAGAGGGGGGGCCTACCCAAGATAGAAGTGGTAGGGCCAGGAATCAAACTTCCTCCAGAGCCTGTGCCCTTTAGCACTGTGCAGTACTTGTTTCTTACCACACATCAATAATTCACATCAACTCATTCTGAAAAGACGCTGATTTTAAGATACTCCCTGCCCCATGAACTACAGACTTGCCCACCCACAATGGAAACCTTTGGTGTTGAGTAGCAGTAAAACCAGCTAAAATAGTCAGTGAATGCTACTACGGGCCAAGCACCTCATTAAGGCATTGGGGATACAGTGGTAAACAAAAGAAATGTGGTCCCTGCCATCATCAGCCGACAGCCGGGGACAGAAACACTCAACACGCTCCTGGCGCTCAAAGAAAAATAACGGGACCAAGACTTGTAAATACTTGGAGATATCCCTGGGAGTTGATTAATCTAGCACTGTAAACCTATTACACAAACTCTAAGAATAGCTAATGTTTTGGCCTTTTTTTTTGAGACGGAGTTTCACTCTTGTTGCCCAGGCTGGAGTGCAATGGTACGATCTTGGCTCACTGCAACCTCTGCCTCCAGGGTTTAAGTGATTCTCCTGCCTCAGCCTCCCGAGTAGCTGGGACTACAGGCGTGCATCACCATGTCCGGCTAATTTCGTATTTTTAGTAGAGACGGGGTTTCACCATATCAGCCAGGATGGTCTTGAACTCCTGACCTCAGGTGATCCACCCACCTCCGTGTCCCAAAGCACTGAGTAGCTGGGACTACAGCTGGGATTACAGGTGTGAGCCACCGTGCCAGGACAGAATAACCAATGTTTTGTCTTAAATTTGAAAATGCTGTTGGGGTGCATAAATTAGCATAAACTTTTTGGAAGGCAATTTATTCAAAAAGCAAAACTTTAAATACACATATTGCCTAAACCAGCAATTTCACAACTAGAAATGCATTTCAATGAAATAAGGAGAATAACATACAAAGATATGCAAGTATTTTTTGCAGCATTCATTAATTCAACCAATATTTAATGAGAGCCCGCTTTGTTCAGGCTGTGTAACAGAATAAGAGAGTTATTTAGTGAACAAAACAGATCAATACTGTTCTCATAAAGCTGGAAACAATCTACATGTGTATTTACAAAGGATAAAACAAATTATGGCACAGGCTTATCATGCTTAAACTCTTCAGCAGCCTCTTCCTATGACACCGAAAATAAAATCCAAATTCCTAACCATGAATTGGGTCCTGCCCAGCTTTCTGGCCCCGTCTTGCCACTTTCCACCTTGCCTGCTAGGCTTCAGTTACACTGGCCTTTTAAATTTCTGGGAGACACCAGGGTCCTTCGCCCTCAGGACCTTCATACTTCACACTTCCTTATTCCTCTCCCTGAAACATGGCCTGCTCAGCCCTGCTGACCCACTGCCTTGCTTTGCCGCACCCCCACTTTCTAAGCCCTCCAGGCTCCTCACTTTTTGGCCACATGTTGGCCATGCTGGTCTCAAACTCCTGACCTCGTGATCTACCCGCCTCAGCCTCCCAAAGTGCTGGGATTACAGACGTGAGCCACCACGCCCGGCCCTAATTTTTGTATTTTTAGTAGAGACGGGGGTTTTACTATGTTGGCCAGGCTGGTCTCGAACTCCTGACCTCAGGTGATCCACCCACCTCGGCCTCCCAAAGTGCTGGGATTACAGGCGTGAGCCCCTGCACTCGGCCAGAGTATCATTCTTTATACCTCCTAATGGAATAATGGATCTGGGCTTTGAGCATCAGAGGCTGCTGACATCACACAAAGAGCAACCAAACATTATGTATCTTGATGACAGACGTACAAAACATCATTATGATGTAGTTTTCTGTAAAAAAGAATCTGAATCAGCTCAGGCTTCTACATCTAACTACCAATTTATGGGAAATACGAGACAAAGTAAAATGTCCATTAATACTCGTGGGTGCAATCAGGAAAATCCAAAACTTGGGAAAATCTACAGGGCAAACAACACAGTTTCTTTAAGAAAAGATTGCAGAGGGGGCAAAGGGAAATGGAAGAAGAAACCAGAGACTTAATAATCTGAGCAGGCTGGACCCAGTGGCTCACCCGGTAATCCCAACTCTTTGGGGGCTGAGGCAAGAAGATCACTTGAGCCCAGGAGCTCAAGACCAGCCTGAGCAACACAGTGAGACCCTATCTCTACAAAAAATAAAAAAATACTGGCCAGGCATGGTGGCAGGTGCCTGAAGTCCCAGTGTAGTCCCAGCCACTTGGGAGGCTGAGGGTAGGATCGCTTTCGTTCCAGGTTTCAGTGAGCTGTGATCAAACCACCGCACTCCAGCCTGGGCAACAGATTGAGACCCCATATTAAACAAAAAGAATCTGAGCAACAAGGAATTGGAAAATAAAATTTAAAAGCAACACCAATAATACATCATTATTGGTTCATTAATTGTAACAAATATTTCATATCAATGTTAATAATATGGGAAACTGGGTAAGTGGTATATGGGAACCATACAAACGATCTTTGCAATTTTTCTGTAAATGTAAAAGTATCCTTAAAAGTGTAGTTTATGTTTTTTAAAAACTATTTACAATAGCAATTCATAACATCGTTCTGTGGTTTGATTGTGTTCTCCAAAGTTTATGGGTTATAAGCTTAATCCCTGAAGCCACAGTGTTGAGAGGTATGAGGTCATGAGGGCTCTGGCATCATCATGGGTTAATGCCATTATCTCAGGAGTGGGCTCTTTTATTCCTTCAAGAGATCTTTATTAAGCACTTATTACGTACCAGGCATTGTATTTGGTGCTAATGAACAGAGGTGAACAAAGTAGACTTTCTGGCATGTAACTTAAAACTAATGGGGGCGCCAGATAATAAGGAAGTAAGCCAGCCGAGACGTAACTTCGGTTTTGTGGTGTTAGGAAATAAATTTGGCAGTGCTGGAATAAGGGAGCTACCTACTGAAGGGGGGTGGCCAGGAGGGCCTCTCTGCTGAAGGGGGGTGGCCAGGAGGGGCTCTCTGAGGAGGTGATACTGAAGCGGGGACCTGAGGCTTGGGGAATGAGACTGCCAAGTGAGAAGCCACCACACCCGGCTAATTTTTGTATTCTTTTAGTAGAGACGGGGTTTTGCCATGTTGACGAGACTGGTCTTAAACTCCTGACCTCAAGTGATCCACCCTCCTCAGCCTCCCAAAGTGCTGGGATTATAGGCATGAGCCACCGCGCCCCCACTCTTCTGGAAGCTCTGAGGAAAAAACTATTTACACCTCTCTTCTAGCTTTGGGTGTTTGCTGGCAATCCTTGATGTTCCTTGGCTCATAGAAGTCTGACTCCAGCCTCTGCCTCCTTCTCACGGCCTTCTTCCCTGTATCTCTGTGTGTTCAATCTCTCTCTCCTTTCTAAGGACAACAGTCATTAGATAAGGCCCCCCACCAATCCTAAATCCAGGACCATCTCATCTTGAGATACTTAATTACATTTACCAAGATAAAGTCACATTTACATGTCCCAAGGCCTAGGACTTGGACATATTTTGGGGTTGGGGGGACACTTCAACCCACTATATCTCCCTGGGTCCTCTTGAGATGACACTAATAGTCTTTGATATTTTTCTTGCTTTTTGTGTAACATGATGTTCTGATTCATCTTGTAGATTTCCTGCCCTTGACCTGGAATTAGTCATTTCTCCAGGAATCTCTGGTTTCTTTTAGTGGAAAATTGTATTTAGAGATCACAATAAAGGTGCTAAGAATGTATTACTTTTGTAATCAATAAAAACAATTTTCACTAAATAAAAAATAATTGGCCACTTGTATCATCAGTCATCAAAATGGTCTTCAACTTATTTCTAGAACTTCTAAGAGTCTGTTCTAGAAAACTAATGCAAAACATTTAAGATGCTATATTCAGAAAGACATTCTTTGTAAGGATTATCTTTTTTTTTTTTTTTTTTTTTAGAGACAGGGTCTCACTCTGTCACCCAGGCTGGAGTGCAGTGGTGTGATCATAGCTCACTGCAGCTTTGACCTCCCAGGCTCAAGCGATCCTCCAACCTCAGCTTCCCAAGTAGCTGAGACCACAGGCATGTACCACCACACTCAACTAACTTTTAAATTTTTTGTAAAGACCAGGTCTCACTATGTTACCCAGGCTGGTCTTGGACTATTGGCCTCAAGCGATCCTTCCACCTTGGCTTCCCAATATGCTAGGATTACAGGCGTGAGCCACTGTACCCTGCCAGGATTATCTATAAAAGCAAAATTTTGGCTGGGCATGGTGGCTCACGCCTATAATCCCAGCACTTTGGAAGGCCAAGGTGAGTGGATCACGAGGTCAGGAGATTGAGACCATCCTGGCTAACACAGTGAAACCCCGTCTCTACTAAAAATACAAAAAATTAGCTGTGTGTGGTAGCGGGTGCCTGTAGTCCCAGCTACTCACAGTGGCTCACGTCTGTAATCCCAGCACTTTGGGAGGCCAAGACGGGCAGATCACAAGATCAGGAGATCGAGACTATCCTGGCTAACACAGTGAAACCCGGCCTCTACTAAAAATAAAAAAAAATTAGCCAGGCGTGGTGATGGGAACCCGTAGTCCCAGCTACTCGCGAGGCTGAGGCAGGAGAATGGCGAGAACCCGGCAGGGGGAGCTTGCAGTGAGCCGAGATCGTGCCACTGCACTCCAGCCTGGGTGACAGAGAGAGACTCTGTTTCAAAAAAAAAGCAAAATTTGAAGCACTATAAACAACGATCAGGGATGCTTGCTAAATAAGTTATGGTACAAGGCCGGGCACAGGGGCTCACACCTGTAATCCCAGCACTTTGGGAGGCCAAGGCAGGTGGATCACAAGGTCAAGAGTTGGAGATCAGCCTGGCCAAGATGGTGAAACCCCATCTCTACTAAAAAAAAAAAAAAAATACAAAAATTAGCCGGGGATGGTGATGGGCATCTATAATCCCAGCTACTCAGGAGGCTGAGGCAGAAGAATTGCTTGAACCTGGGAGGTGGAGGCTGCAATGAGCCAAGATCATGGCCACTGCACTCCAGCCTGGAAGACAGAGCAAGACTCTGTCTCAAAATAAATAAATAAATAAATAATTTATGGTATAGTCCCTTAAAGAGAAATATTATGTGGCCATAAACAATGATAGTAATAATGACCCTGTAATGATAGTTATGATTATTACTATCATTATAATGACAGGAGAAATGCTAATGCTATGTATGACACTAACAATAAAAGGATATAACAGTGAATTAAGATTGTAACATTCAAAACTATGTCTATGAATAACAATTGAAAAAATACCCCAAATTGCTAATATGATTATTTGAGGATGATGGGATTAAAAGGGATCTTTATTTTTTTAAATACTACGGTTATTTTACCTTTAAAATAGCATATTTACATGTATCGTATTTCTTTCTGTGCACACCCAAAATAGTTAAACAGTGTTTCTTCATGAAAGAACTCTGGAACCCCTGCCTTGGAGGTCCTTACAGATAGTGCCATCTTACCTGGGGAGTGGCCTGGGGCTAAACGGACTGCTCTGTGGCTCCAAGGCCAAACCCTGGAAGGTCATGACCTTCGCAACTCAACATGACCAGGTCCCCAGGCAGAGTGTGCTGCTGCCTCTGCCTCTGGCTGGCTTATGTGCCACTGAGGGGCCTTGGTAGACACACTTCCTATTTGACCTGCTATATTGCTGCCCTGGCACACAGGAGCTCCAAGCTGGGCTGTCTGAACTATCATTTATGACTGTCTTCTTGTGGTCTAGGCATCTGTAAATTATAAATACAAAGTGGGTAGAAGAGCAGAACCTTTCCAAATTACTTTCTTTCTCTTGGCCTCAGGGGAATCCCAGACCAAGTGTGAAAAGGACTTCTAATTCCATGTTTAAGGCTGAATCAAAGGTTATTCTGGGTCTTCCTTCTGCTCCATCAGTTGCTGAACTATGGCCATGTGGGGGCCTCCAGCAGAGGCATCACCCTTTCCTGTCCCCCAGTTCCTAAACGTCAGCATCCCAAACAATGGCTATTTGTTGAGGCAGATTGAAAATGCCATGTAAATTTCAGAAGACACATAAAAGCCCAAAGGATTCTGCTTAACTTAGTAACACTTCTGAGCATGGAATAACTGGCTGTGACTCATCATCACCAAAGGCTGGGTCCTAGCACAGACAAGCTTGTTACTGCTTTTCTCATATGGGTTGGAGTGCTACTGACCTACTTTTAACAGGTCATGCCCTTTGAGGAGCTTACACAACTCCAGGGAGGTGACCAGTCATACTTTCTTGCCCAGTCTTCTTTTAACAAGGCCTTTCTGTAAGACAGCTGCCTGGGCAGCCTTATGGCTGGACACTGAGCTTTCCTCTGTGGCAGGCCAACTGGTCTGACCCAAGGTTGTCTGTGGCCATGTTAGGACGTATATTCTTACTCGCCGAGCGACGCAGCCCAGAGGGTTCAGGAAAAGGAGGTGGTGAGTGGGCAGCCAGGATGGCTCACCTGCTGGGTGGTGGCCAGACAGTACTCTGCCGTGCTCAGGATGTTACAGATGAGGCAGAGCTCCTCCAGAGTGAACTTGGCTACTTCTGAGCCCTCCTTTTCCTTGAGGAGGCTGCTGATAGTCAGTCCTCCACTGCTGGTTGTGGTTCTGAAGAAAAGGAACAGGAACAAGTCAGCATGGAATTTCTAATTTGCTTCCTGAACTGGAAACTACATTATTTTAAGATACAGAAAAGGGGGAAGTAAAGGCTGGACATGGCCCAAATCAATTCACATACAATGAGTCCTTTTCCTACTGACCTTACCTTGACACCGTCAGAAATAGGAAGAGATGATTCCTATTTTAGTTAATCTGAATCATCAGCAGGCCATTAGTCACATTAACTAGGATGGTCTAATATCCAAAGGGAAGGCTGCTGAGCTGTCCTCTCTTTAGCTTGGAATCTCCTGATGTGCAGAACTCATTTAGGACCGTGTGGAGCACGAAAGATGGTTACCTACCCTGTTTCTTTCAGTTAAGAAAAGTCTGCACTGGGACTCATGTGTGCTGGTGGAGGAGGACATAAGCGCATGTTAAGAGAAGTCTGCACTGGAACTCATGTGTGTTTGTGGAGGAGGACATAAGTGAATGTTAAGAAAAGTCTGCACTGGGACTCGTGTGTGCTGGTGGAGGAGGATATAAGCGAATGTTAAGAGAAGTCTGCAAGGGGACTCATGTGTGCTTGTGGAGGAGGACATAAGCGAATGTTAAGACATGCTTCCTGCCCAAGGCCCTAAGTGTCTCAAGAGGCCAACACCCATCACACATCCTCCTGTGACTACAGGTTTTGGGGCAGCCCCAGCTACTGAGTGAGTTCTATGGTAGTAACCACTACCCACTCATATCTGGATGCTTTGGAATCCTCTGTTGGCTCCTTTCACCTTGCCCCCACTTCTGTGAACAGTCTCTCTACTGACATAATCCCAGCTGAGTATGCCATTTTTTTCTGCTGAGATGCTGACTAATACACGTGGGAAAATGCTCCCACGATGAAGTTAAACGGTAGCTGCAGGGAATAAAGCTATAAGCAGTATAGCCCCAATTCCGTGACACAAACAAACAAAAGCACACAGATCACACACATTAGGTATCTATCAAGAACGGAAAAATATATACAAAAAGTTACGTTCTCTTTGGGTAGTGGGATTATACATAATTTATTTATTTATTTATTTATTTTTTAGGGCGGAGTCTCCCTGCAATGCCCAGGCTGGAGTGCAATGGCACAATCTCGGCTCAGCGCAACCTCCGCCTCCCGGGTTCAAGTGATTCTCCTGCCTCAGCCTCCCGAGCAGCCGGGACTACAGGCATGCACCACCACACCCAGCTGATTTTTGTATTTTTAGTAGAGATGGGGTTTCACCATATTAGCCAGGCTGGTCTCAAACTCCTGACCTCAAGTGATCCTCCTGCCTCGGCTGCCCCCAATCCTACCGCATCTTCAAACATTAGGCTATGTCCAGTTCTAATGCCTCAGGATAACACAATAGTCCCCATAATTAGGAGCTATGCAGTAGCTGACCCCCAATCCTACCGCATCTGAAACATTAGGCTCTGTCCAGCATGGCAGGAAGTGTGCACCACAAGAGGGACTTGGAACCTACTGGGAATGAGGAAAAAGCAGATTCATTCCTCCAACCCATCACTCCGGGGCATCATCTCACCAAAAGAGGCTTGGGTGAAACTGCTTAAGCTATTTATCAGTTATTTCCACCACAACCTCACTTTTTTTGTATGTGCCAAGTATCTATAGCTGAATCCATGAAAATTAAATAGGCATACAATGGGATTGGTTCTCGAGTCCACCGTGGTAAGATTTGCCCACGTGGGCAGTCAGTGTGGACATTTCCTCTGATGGTCTTGATCAGCTGTGGAATGTCAGAGAGGAAATAGCTTCAGGCCCTCGGGAACTCAGGAAGCGTGCTTTCCTCCTTGATACTCTTGGTGGTTTAGTAAACAACTTCAGAGTGGATTTCCTTAAGATTCCCATATTTAGGTCTATTTGCCACCACTCAGACTATGAAGAACAGGACTCACTTGGGCAGGTTGCCAGAGAGGATTTTCCAGGCGTATTCTCGGAGGTACTTCTGGAAAATGGTGGTCAGGGCGATCATGGGCTCCCCAGTACTGAGCTGAGAGCATTGCACCATGCACTTCTTGTAGTAGACAAAGAGGTCGGCGCAGCTGGGGAGCACGGCACCCCCTTCATCAGTGTTGGGCTTAGGTGGCCCCTGGGCTTTGAAATCAGCCACAAACCGATCTATCAGCTCTCCGAGGTTCCTAGGAGGAAAAAAAAAAACCAAAAATGTTATTTTACTTCAAGAAAAGTAAAGCAAATGTGCTCGTTTGCAATGTACATAAACTACTGCCACAAGTAATCATTCCTACTGCATTTAAAACTTAAAATCGGATCGATTTTAATCAATATCATCATTCACTACCACCACCACTCCTACAACAGCAGTAATAAAATCTGACATATGAGATTCTAATCTCTAAGTCGATTGACATTTGTGCTTTATACTTTTCAAGGCATTTCATTATCATATTGGACTCCAAACCCCTGTAAGCAAGATAGGGTATTACTGGTCCCGCTAAAAGATGAGAAAATTAAGTCCTAGAAAGTTTCTCACAAAGTCTGTGGCAGAGCTGAGCCTAGACTCCAATACTAAAGTAAGAAACTAATCCTTCTATCATATTAGTACTGTTTACCCCTCCAAAAAGGAAAACCCTAAATCATGATAGTGATCGTTTTCTGAACACTTGAGATGCACCAGGTATTATGTCCATGCTTTATACCCATCTCACTGAACTTCATTTCCTTTTTTTTTTTTTTTTTTTTTTTTTGAGACAGAGTCTTGCTCTGTTGGCCCAGGCTGGAGTGCAGCGGCATGATCTTGGCCCACTGCAACCTCCATCTTCAGGGTTCAAGCAATTCTCCTGCGTCAGCCTCCCATGTAGCTGGGACTACAGGCACACGCCACCATGCCCAGCTAACTTTTATTTTCAGTAGAGACAGGGTTTCACCATGTTGCCCAGGCTGGTCTCGACATCCTGACCTCAGGTGATCCACCCACCTTGGCCTCCCAAAGTGCTGGGATTACAGGTGTGAGCCACTCACTGCGCCCAGCTCATTTACTTTTTACAATAAACTTACATAGTATGTATTATTACTATCCTCATTTTCAAAGAGTTAAGTACAGAAAAGTTGAGTACCTTGTCCAGAGTAATACAGCAAGAAAACAGGAGAGCCACGATTAAAAACTAAGCAGCCTGGCTCTAAGCTTCAAGCCTTTAAGCACTCTACTTCCTAAAAACAAAAAGGTTATGATGTCAGCACATATTTAGACATCACGAACCTAAATGTGCCCAAGAGACAGATGCCTAAACAAAGAGAAACTGTGAAATGTGTTATAATGGTTTCTTTCTCCTCCGATTTAGTTTTTTCTTAGAACTTCCAGAATCAAAGGTTTAAAAAAATCTTAGGAAAAGAGAGGGTACGGGCAGAGTGTGGTGGCTCAAGCCTGTAATCCCAGCACTGTGGGAGGCCGAGGCGGGCAGATCACTTGAGGACAGGAGTTCGAGACCAGCCTGGCCAACATGGCAAAACCCCGTCTCTACTAAAAATACAAAAATTAGCCGGGTGTGGGCCGGGTGCGGTGGCTCATGCCTGTAATCCCAACACTTTGGGAGGCCCAGGCGGCGGATCACTTGAGGCCAGGAGTTCGAGACCAGCCTGGCCAACATGGCAAAACCCCGTCTCTACTAAAAATACAAAAATTAGCGTGGTGTGGGCCAGGCACAGTGGCTCATGCCTGTAATCCCAGCACTTTGGGAGGCCAAGGCAGGCGGATCACAAGGTCAGGAGATCAAGACCATCCTAACACGTTGAAACCCCGTCTCTACTAAAAATACAAAAAAAAAATTAGCCGGGCATGATGGCGGGTGCCCGTAGTCCCAGCTACTTCAGAGGCTGAGGCAGGAGAATGGCATGAACCCGGGAGGCGGAGCTTGCAGTGAGCTGAGACTGCACCACTGCCCTCCAGCCTGGGCAACAAAGTGAGACTCTGTCTCAGAAAAAAAAAAAAAAAAAAAATTAGCTGGGGGTGGTGGCGCATGCCTGTAATCCCAGCTACTTGGAAGGCTGAGACCTGAGGCAGAGAATCACTTGAACTCAGGAGGCGGAGGTTGCTGTGAGCCCAGCTCACACCACTGCATTCCAGCCTGGGCAACAGAGCAAGACTTGATATCTGGAAAAAAAAAACAAAAACCAAAACAGGGTATGAGCAGCTCCAGACTTGCCTCAGGCCACAGTGGGGATGAGAGTTGCAATTTTTCTCCGATTTCCCATTCAAACATCCCTGTAATTGTTCCGTTGAATTGTGTCATCACCTGTGAGGATCCAGCAGAGCTGCAGTAACTGCTGCCTGCACAGCTGTGCTGTGTGAAGAATGGGAAGGGTTCCCACCACTCCTGACATGTTGCATCTTTTTAGGTTGCCGTTTAAGGCTATAGGAATCCAGCTGTGTTTTAAAAATGTATTTATATAATGGTAAGGAAGAAAAAGACAAGAACCACACATACCACCAATTAGCAGGAATAGGAGAAAATTGACATTTTACTCAAAGGCTTTTGTTATTGAAAGTCTATTATAGGCCCAACGTGGGGGCTCACACCTGTAATCCCAGCACTTTGGGAAGCCGGGGCGGGTGGATCACCTGTGGTCGGGAGTTTGAGACCAGCCTGACCAACATAGAGAAACCCCGTCTTCACTAAAAACACAAAAAATTAGCCAGGCGTGGTGGCGGGTGCCTGTAATCCCAGCTACTCGGGAGGCTGAGGTAGGAGAATCACTTGAACCTGGGAGGCGGAAGTTGCAGTGAGCCGAGATCGTACCATTGCACTACAGCCTGGGCAACAAGAGCGAAACCCCATCTCAAAAAAAAAAAAAAAAAAAAAAAGAAAGAAAAGAAAAAGAAAGTCTATTATATCCAGATACAACCACTCTGCCCTCAAAGAGCTTCTGGCCTAGGCTAAGTCTCTGTCTGTGGTGATAGTGAGAAAGCAGGGAAGGATCTCGTTGGTTGACCTCGGAAAGCTTCATGGCCACCACTCTTGTTCCTCATAACCTCTCTTGCCTCACTTTCCCACTGAATCTCCCACCTCTCCTCCACAGCTGACCCAACACTCCAGCCAGAGGTTCCTCGCAACAGCTCCCCTGCTGGCCTACTCCCGGTCAGTGGGCCTCGCAACGGCTCCCCTGCTGGCCTACTCCCGGTCACTGGGCCTGTGTGACGTCCTGGCCAAAACGCTCTCCCACCACCTGTCCACTCCCCTTTCAAGCTCATCCAGGTCTCACCCGCAGCAGCTGCAACTTCTGTCATCTGCCACCCACCAACACTTTATTTAACACTTTATTAGACAGTGCGAGGATGCCATATATTCAAGAAATAACCGGCCGGGCGCGGTGGCTCACGCCTGTAATCCCAGCACTTTGGGAGGCCGAGGCGGGCGGATCACGAGGTCAGGAGATCGAGACCATCCCGGCTAAAACGGTGAAACCCCGTCTCTACTAAAAATACAAAAAAATTAGCCAGGCGTAGTGGCGGGCGCCTGTAGTCCCAGCTACTTGGGAGGCTGAGGCAGGAGAATGGCGTGAACCCGGGAGGCGGAGCTTGCAGTGAGCCGAGATCCCGCCACTGCACTCCAGCCTGGGCGACAGAGCGAGACTCCGTCTCAAAAAAAAAAAAAAAAAAAGAAAGAAATAACCTATCTTCTCCCATCCTGGGCCACGGTAGGCAATGCTAATCAACAAGGAGCCCTTTCTTCACTGATCTCTCTTGTGATTCCAGAATCCTTCTTGAGACAGCACTCCAGCCAGTCACCTCTATCAACTGAAGTTGGTACAAAAGGCGAAGGAGGTAGAATCATCTGTTTCGTGCCTGTTAACACAAGCTCCCTGAGAGGAGGAATGACGTTTATGCTGGTTCTGCTGCCCCCGGCCCGCCCGTCATGCCAATGAGTGGAGTGAAGCTTCATGCTAGTGCTCGATACATACTTACCTGATCAACCTCCACACTTTGTTCCTAGGGGATGGGAATGGAGGGTGGGAAGGTGGAAACGGGATGGAGGCCGGTGCAGTGGAGGAGAACATGGAACAGAAGGCAAAAGATTCCCCTGGGGTCTTCTTATGAGATTCTAATCTCTAAATTGATAGTGCCAACCAAATCAGGGACCAGAGCTCTGACATGGGTGTTTTTTTTGTTTTTTTTTGTTTTTGTTTTTTGCTTTTTTTGGAGACGGAGTCTCACTCAGTTGTCCAGGCTGGAGTGCAGTGGTTTGATCTCAGCTCACTGCAACCTCTGCCTCCCGGGTTCAAGTGATTCTACTGCCTCAGCTTCCTGAGTAGCTGGGACTACCGGCACACACCACCACAACCGGCTAATTTTTGCTTTTTTTTTTAGTAGAGATGGGGTTTCACCATCTTGGCCAGGCTGGTCTTGAACTCCTGACCTAGTGATCGCCCGCCTCAGCCTCCCAAAGTGCTGGGATTACAGGCGTGAGCCACTGCGCCCAGCCGACTCTGATGTGCTTCCAGGCGTGAGCCAACGCGCCAGCCAACTCTGATGTGATTCTATTTTCATCACTCACCTGTTCCCCTAGAAGATGGATACTTACTTACTTGCTTCCTATTTCAGAGCCACCCCAATGAGTAAGATTATAAACTAATTATGATCATACAGCATAAAGAAAATGTTCACTTCAAAAAGCTCTAAAGATCTATACTTTGTAGAATGTCTACAGGATGTCTACTCGGTTACTTCTGACATTGTTCTTTCAAGTGGATGAGAAATAAACCAGTTGGGGAAACCTTCCCCTGCCTTCCATCTTTCACCCTGCATCAGCATGCTTTGATGCCACATGAGACATTAGAAAATCAGTAGCCAGTATTTCACAGAACAGAAGAATGTAAGTTACCCCAATGGGAATGCGTAAGGCTCATTAGTTTTGAATACATGATCCAATCTGATCACATTTCTTTTTTTTTTTTTTGAGACAGAGTATTGCTTTGTCACCCAGGACAAAGTGCAGTGGCATGATCATGGCTCACTGCAGCCTCAACCTCCCAGGCTCAAGCAATTCTCCTGCCTCAGCCTCCCAAGTAGCTGGGACTACAGGCGTCCATCACCATGCATGGCTAGGAGGAGGCCAGGAGTTTGAGAATAGTGTGGGCAACAAAGTAAGATCCCTATCTCTAAAAAAAAATAAACAAATTAGTTAGGCATGGTGGTGTGTGCTTGTAGTTACAGTTACTTGGGAGGCTGAGGGAGGACGATCATTTGAGCCCAGGAGTTTGAGGTTACAGTGAGCTATAATGCCACCACTGCACTCCAGCCTGGACAACAGAGCAAGACATTGTCGAAGGGGAGGGGAGGGGAGGGGAGGGGAAGGGAGAAGGAAGGAAATACCTCCTTCCCGAAATACTGCTGGGAGTTCCACTGATAAATTACATGCCCTAGGAATGAAGACAGTTGCAGAGTGGTATCAGTAGAGGGAAAAACTAAAGTGAGGAGAAAAAATATGCCATTGCAGACTGGGTTTATCCATGGATGGCCAAGGCCATTTCTCTGGTGGGCCTGCAGTCAGCATTCACAGAAACAATATTCTAATTGGAATGTCAAGCAGTGAGGCACAGGGAGAGAAAGACAGTAGCCAGAAGATGGCAACGCAGGTGAGCAAGGTCAAGGCAGCTGAAGATCCCCATTAAGTTAGATAACTTATTTATTTATTTTTTTATTTTTTTGAGACAGGGTCACCCAGGCTGGAGTGCAGTGGCATGACCACAGCTTACTGCAACTTCTGCCTCCCAGGCTCCAGCAATCCTCCCACCCCAGCCTCCTGAGTAGCTGGGACTACAGGTGCACACCACCACACCTGGTTAATTTTTGTGGGCTTTTTTTTGTAGAGACAGGGTTTTGTCATGTCACCCAGGCTGGTCTCGAACTCCTGAGCTCAAGCCATCCACCTGCCTCAGCCTCCCAGGGTGCTGGGATTACAGGCACGAGCAACCATGCCCGACCCTAGAGCTTCTTAATTCAAGGGTACTCCCACTAATTTGCATCCCTTCCTCTTCCTTTTTGCTGGGGCTGAGGATGTTGCTCTGGTGTGGCCAGTGGGGCTGGGGAGCCAAGGTGTGGCTTGAGCACAGCTGGGAGATGGGTTACATACAGGCAAACTGAGCAAATAGGTAAATATACTGAGCATGCTAGGACCCAAATTTCTCACTGTTGTAGAAGGCAGTTGCCAACGTTGAATGGGAGAGGCTAAAATAAACCCTGTGGTGTGAGATTAGAATTGAAGGCATCAGCATCAAATGCACAGGTTCTAATATAGAAGCAGGTGCACACACAGCTATAGAGGCATATATGTAGAAGCAGGTGCACACACAGCTATAGAGACATATACACGTATGTTTATACACACATACATTTCTTAGCTCTCTCAGCCAAGGCAATCTGGAAGCAATGACACCGAGCAGCAATGAGCATACTTGGTTTCTAAATGTCATCCTCCACCAAAGGAACAAGAAATGCCTGGGGAAATGGACGACTCCAGGGCTGGGATACAAAAGTACAGGATAAGCCTAGTATATTTTATTGTGCCAGAGAGGAAGGAGGTGCTCAAAAAATGATAGTGGCATGTAAAAAGGATGAAGAGCCAGCTTTAAGAGGCTCCCACTGGCCAAGTCAGGGACAATTTGAGTACTAAAATAACAACGACAAATCCTGGAAGGAAAAACAGACACTAATGGAAAAACTGGTGAAGTTCAAACACGGTGTGCAGGTTATTAAATAGTAATGTACCAATGTTAACTTGCCAGTTTTGACAACTCTGCTGTGGTTATATAAGATGTCAACATCAGGGGAAGTTGGGTGAAGGGGAACATAAGAAATCTGTACTATTTGTGAAATTTTCCTATAGGTATACATTTATTCCAAAATACAGTAAAAATAAAAGAGATAGTGATGCCTACAACCTACTGAATAAAATATAAAAATCCATGAGTCCATGCTGACATAGACATAAGGGGGAGAAGTGACAGCTTTTCTTAAAGTAGAATGCCAACTGATAAACGCAGAAGAAATGATGTAGCTAGAAAAATCACCATTTGACTGGGCGCGGCAGCTCATGCCTGTAATCTCAACATCTAGGGAGGCCGAGGTGGGCAGATCACTTGAGGTCAGGAGTTCCAAACCAGCCTGGCCAACATGGTGAAACCCCGTCTCTACTAAAAATACAAAAAAATTAGCTGGGCATGGTGGCGAGCATCTATAATCCCAGCTACTTGGGAGGCTGAGGCAGGAGAATCACTTGAACCCAGGAGCCGAGATTATGTCACTGCACTCCAGCCTGGGCGACAGAGCAAGACTCTGCCTCAAAAAAAAAAAAAAGAAGAAAAATCATCATTGTCAATCATCTTAGTAATAAATTACATGATAAGTGAAAGATGAGGAAAAGGATATTGATAAAGTTTCAAGGTTTCTCCCAACACTTATTAATAAATAGAGATACCCAGTAGAGACAACATCTACACCAAGTAATAAAAACGAACATCATAGGCTGGCCGTGGTAGCTCACGCCTGTAATCTCAGCACTTTGGGAGGCCAAGGCGGGTGGATCACCTGAAGTCAGGAGTTCAAGACCATCCTGACCAACATGGCAAAACCCTGTCTCTACTAAAAAAAAGACAAAAATTAGCTGGGTGCAGTGGCGGGTACCTGTAATCCCAGCTACTCAGGAGGCTGAGGCAGGAGAATTGCTTGAGCCCAGGAGGTGGAGGTTGCAGTGAGTGGAGATCGCACCACTGCACTCCAGCCTGGGGAATAGAGTGAAACGACTCTGTCTCAAAAAAAAAAAAAAAAAAAAAAAGAACATCACATCACAAGTTTTGGGATAAACTGGCATTCTGTGCCTCCTGATATGAATTCCTAGGAACACAGGACCACTTCTGCATAAATCATAAATAATGAGGAAACATCAGACAAACCCAAACTGAGGGAAATTCCAGAAAGTAATTGGCCAATCCTCTTCAAAAATGTCAAGGTCATGAAAGACAAAGAAAGACTCAATTAGTCTTCTGGGTTGAAGGAGACCAAAGAGACATGACAACTAAATGCAACCTGTGATCCTAGAGCTATTTAAACAAACAAACAACCTGCGATCTGAGAGCTATTCAAACAAATAAACTAACAACCTGTGATCCTAGGGCTATTCAAACAGGCCAACAAACAAGCAGATTGGGACAACTGCTGAAATGTGAGGAGGAGAGCATGGATGAAGCAGTAATACTGTATCACTGTGAATTCCCTGATGTTGATAGCTGTACTGTGGTTATGTGAGGGGTCTGGGATTAAGCAGTAATGTTGTATCAACGTTAATTTCCTGATGTGGACAGTTGTACTGTGGTTATGTAGAAACCTTGTTTCTAAGAAATATATATTGAAGTATTAAGGAGTAGTGGCGAATCTTGTCTGCAACTTGAGAATTCAAAGGTTCAGGAAAAAAGTACAGGTTGGGCACAGTGGTTCACGTCTGTAATCTCAACACTTTGGGAGGCCAGCAGATCACTTGAGCCCAGGAGTTTGAGACCAGCCCGAGCAACATGGTGAGACCCTGTCTCTACAAAAAAACAAAAATTAGACTGATGTGATGGCCTGTGCCTGTAGTCTCAGTTACTCTAGAGGCTGAAGTAGGAGGAGGGGAAGGGAGAGGAAGGGAGGGGAGGGGTGGGGAGGGGAGGGAGAAGAGAAAGGGAAAGAGAGAAAAAGAAAAAGAAGGAAGAGAAAAAAGAAAAGGAAAATGCATGCAGTGTCTGTGCATTACGTGTGTGGGGGAGATAACTATTAATGAGGAATCTGGATGAAGGCTATACAAGGGCTCTTTGTATAATTCTTATAATTCTTCTGTAAGCTTGAAATTAATTCAAAATAAACAACAATGGGCTCTCCCTCTCCCTCTCCTTCTCCCTCTCCCTCTCCCTACAGTCTCCCTCTCCCTCTCCCTACGGTCTCCCTCTCCCCACGGTCTCCCTCTCCCTCTCTTTCCACGGTCTCCCTCTGATGCCGAGCCGAAGCTGGACTGTGCTGCTGCCATCTTGGCTCACTGCAACCTCCCTGCCTGATTCTCCTGCCTCAGCCTGCCGAGTGCCTGCGATTGCAGGCGCGCGCTGCCATGCCTGACTGGTTTTCGTATTTTTTTGGTGGAGACGGGGTTTCGCTGTGTTGGCCGGGCTGGTCTCCAGCTCCTAACCGCGAGTGATCCGCCAGCCTCGGCCTCCCGAGGTGCCGGGATTGCAGACGGTGTCTGGTTCACTCAGTGCTCAATGGTGCCCAGGCTGGAGTGCAGGGGCGTGATCTCGGCTCGCTACAACCTCCACCTCCCAGCCGCCTGCCTTGGCCTCCCAAAGTGCCCAGAGTGCAGCCTCTGCCCGGCCGCCACCCCGTCTAGGAAGTGAGGAGCGTCTCTGCCTGGCCGCCCATCGTCTGGGATGTGAGGAGCCCCTCTGCCTGGCTGCCCAGTCCGGAAAGTGAGGAGCGTCTCTGCCCGGCCCCCATCCCATCTAGGAAGTGAGGAGCGCCTCTTCCCGGCCGCCATCCCATCTAGGAAGTGAGGAGCGTCTCTGCCCGGCCGCCCATCGTCTGAGATGTGGGGAGCGCCTTTGCCCCGCCGCCCCGTCTGGGATGTGAGGAGCGCCTCTGCCCGGCCGCGACCCCGTCTGGGAGGTGAGGAGCGTCTCTGCCCAGCCGCCCCATCTGAGAAGGGAGGAGACCCTCTGCCCGGCAACCGCCCCGTCTGAGAAGTGAGGAGCCCCTCCGCCCGGCAGCCGCCCCGTCTGAGAAGTGAGGAGCGTCTCCGCCGGGCAGCCACCCCGTCCGGGAGGGAGGTGGGGGGGTCAGCCCCCCGCCCGGCCAGCCGCCCCATCCGGGAGGTGAGGGGCGCCTCTGCCCGGCCGCCCCTACTGGGAAGTGAGGAGCCCCTCTGCCCAGCGCGTCTGGGACGTGTGCCCAAGAGCTTATTGAGAACGGGCCATGATGACAATGGCGGTTTTGTGGAATAGAAAGGCGGGAAAGGTGGGGAAAAGATTGAGAAATCGGATGGTTGCCGTGTCTGTGTGGAAAGAAGTAGACATGGGAAACTTTTCATTTTGTTCTGTACCAAGAAAAATTCTTCTGCCTTGGGATCCTGTTGATCTGTGACCTTACCCCCAACCCTGTGCTCTCTGAAGCATGTGCTGTGACCACTCAGGGTTAAATGGATTAAGGGCAGTGCAAGATGTGCTTTGTTAAACAGATGCTTGAAGGCAGCATGCTCGTTAAGAGTCATCACCACTCC
This sequence comes from Homo sapiens, assembly GCF_000001405.40. NCBI lineage: Eukaryota > Metazoa > Chordata > Mammalia > Primates > Hominidae > Homo > Homo sapiens. The sequence goes on from NW_017363817.1 coordinate 132,336, forward strand.
CTAATCTCAAGTACCCAGGGACACAAACACTGCGGAAGGCCTCAGGGTCCTCTGCCTAGGAAAACCAGAGACCTTTGTTCACTTGTTTATCTGCTGACCTTCCCTCCACTATTGTCCTATGACCCTGCCAAATCCCCCTCTGTGAGAAACACCCAAGAATGATCAATAAAAATAAAAATAAAAATAAAATAAAATAATCAACAATGGTAATTAGTTTACAGACAGATGCTAGGCTCTAGAAAAGCATGAGTTCTAGTCTAACAAAAGTTATTAGAGGGAACTCAGGAGAATGGGCAGATATGGAGTCACCAGTAACTTCCCTGATGGAGAACGCCATAGAATGGGGTAAAGAAAGTGCCTATGTAGAAATTTCTTTTGCAAGAGTCAGCCAGAGGAAATCACTAAATGCCAAGGGTAGAAGACAGACTAACCTCCTCTTTGAACATAAATAAAAATTGAGAAAGCCATTTAAAGGATGTAAGGACGGCTTAGCCCAACCTGCTAGTGGCCATCCCCACTTCCTGCCTCCTCCCTGAGTACTGGCTCTGCAGTCCTCCTACTGCTACTTGGCTTTTGGCTGGGGCAGATGCTGCCGGAACTTTCCCTTGGCAGGTGGGAGGCTGGGGAGATGAGAAGGTGGACCCCATGCCAGGCTCAAGAGAAATCTGGCCACACTGACAAGGCCACCCACCCACATAGGAGTCCTGAAAAAGATGAGAGGGATGGCAGGGCAGGCACTGTTCCTGAGCACCATTTACTGTGTGCTGAAGGTGAAAATGCCACCTCTTCTCCTCCTCGCCACAAAGTCCATGAGGTCGGCCTTATGATCCTCACAGTGTAGAGGGGCTAGCTAGGAGCATGCTCAAGGTCCCAGCCTAGCAAGCGCGAAGCCTCACATCTAGGTATGTCTGGGATCAGGCCCACGCTCTTTCCACCACACTGTGTTGCGTCTCTGTCATCTGGGAAGTTATGAATGGTCTCATGCTTTCTGAGTTAGAGCTACAGCAAAAGTAGTAATGTGCACAAAACCAGTCCCCACCTGAGTTCCTTCTCCAGCCTCAGGATTCTTTGAAGGGAAGAAGCAGTTCCTAGAACTCCTTGAAATTACACTCAAAATAGTGTGTGCATGATATGGATTTTTTTGACAAGAGCGTCGATGCTTTCCATTGGGTTCTTAAAAAGGATCTATGACTTTAAAATGGTTAATAACGAGTGCGTTGGGCATTATTTTGTCTGACTATCTCTCTTGACAGATAAGGAAATGGAGTTCTTTGAACTCTATTTTCTACTTTGAGTTACAGTGTTTATTCTGCAGGAACAGCAGCACAGCCTGCGCAGTATCTGCTCCTTCCTTAGTGCTGCGGAAACTTCCTAGTGAGGCCAAACAGCAGGGTAAGTGGCCAGCACTTCATTTTTCACAGGAAAATGGAGAGTCCCCAAGGAAGGGAGGCCTGGCTCCTTGCCCAAAGTATCATGAACAATGAGTATACTTTGTATAAATCAAGGCCATGTGAAAAGAGTGGATGCCAGAATTACAATAACTCAGAAAAATGACCCTTTAAACCAGGTAGGTTTTGGGAAAGGATGTGGCTACCTCAGACATGTGCTTTAAACCCTGGGCCTTGGCTGGGCGCGGTGGCTCATGCCTGTAATCCCAGCACTTTGGGAGGTGGAGGTGGGCTGACCTCTTAAGCCCAGGAGTTCGAGACCAGCCTGGGCAACATGGCAAAACTGCGTCTCTACAAAAAATACAAAAATTAGCCAGGTGTGGTGGTGTGTGCCTGTAGTCTCAGCTACTTGAGAGGCTGAGTAGGAAAGACTGCTGAAACCCAGGAGGTTGAGGCTACAGTGAGTCCTGATCACGCCTCTGTACTCCATCTTAGCTGACACTGAGACCCCGTCTCAAAAATAAATAAATAAAAATAAACCCTGGACCCAGTAACTTTTAAGCCTTTTAAAACGAAAAATTTGGGTTAAGAGAAGATGGGGCTTTGGCTGAAAAGAGTCATCCAGGGGGGTTCCTCAAAGACCTGTGACTCTAATAGGCAAATAACCAATCCTTTTTCCTGCCCCTCAGGGGTGTCTTAGTAACTTCCTGGAGGCAAACTGTGAATGTAGAAGACAGGGTGCTCTCAAGGACAAAGAGGCAGAAGTCCCCACTGTACCTCGGTGTGCCTGCTGGGCACGTGCCCACTGGGCAAGAGCAAGGGCACTACTGGGTCTTTGCAAGGCAAATGACGGCAAGGCAACTTGCCTTTGGTGGTGGGCTGATGGGGAGACTTCCATTTGATGATGGAGAAGCTACTGGGCAAGTTCATTTTCTGAGATTTTAATATGAAGTACTTTGTAATCGGGCATGAAAAGCATAGAAGCAGTCCATAAAATCACGTGAGTGAATAATACAGTTCCATGTGAAGTTTCTAATTGAAACATTGTCTTACTGTTACGGTTTAAGAAACATGTTTGAAACTAAGAATGTGCTCACCCATGATAGAAGCATTAAAAACAAGGGGAGGGGTGAAGTGCAATCAGACCTAAATGCGTAAATGCAACCCCAGAGAGCCTCCCTAAAAACCTAATACGTTCCCAGAGAACTTCCCTCAGAACCTAACGCGTTCCCAGAGAACTTCCCTCAGAACCTCAATGCGTTCCCAGAGAATGTCCCTCAGAACCTAATGTGTTCCCAGAGAATCTCCCTCAGAACCTAATGCGTTCCCAGAGAACCTTCCTCAGAACCTCAATGCATTCCCAGAGAACTTCCCTCAGAACCTAATGCATTCCCAGAGAAATTCCCTCAGGATCTAATGTGTTCCAGGGAACCTCCCTCAGAACCTCAATGCGTTCCCAGAGAACCTCCCCCAGAATCTAATGCTTTCCCAGAGAACCTCCCTCAGGACCTAGTGCGTCCCAGAGACCTTCCCTCAGAACCTAATGCGGTCCCAGAAGACTTCCCTCAGGACCTAATGCGTTCCTAGAAAACTCTCAGAACCTAATGCGTTCCCAGAGAACTTCCCTCAGAACCTAATGCATTCGCAGCGAACCTCCCTGAGACCCTAATGCGTTCCCAGAGAAATTCCCTTAGGACCTAAATGTGTTCCCAGAGAACTTCACTCAGAACCTAATGCATTCGCAGAGAACCTCCCTCAGAACCTAATGCGTTCCCAGAAAACCTCCCTCACAACCTAACGCGTTCTCAGAGAACTTCACTCAGGACCAAATGAGTTCCGAAAAACCACCCCAGAACCTCAATGTGTTCCCAGAGAACCTCCCTCAGAACCTAATGAGTTTCCAAAGAACCTCCCTCAGAACCTAATGTGTTCACAGAGAACCTCCCTCAAACCTAAATGGTTCCCAGAGAACCTCTCTCAGAACCTAATGTGTTCCCAGACAATCTGCCTCATAACCTAATGCGTTCTCAGATAACTTCCCTGAGAACCTCAATGCATTCCCAAAGAACTTCCCTCAGAACCTAACGCTTTCCCAGACAACCTCCCTCAGGACCTAATGCATTCCCAGAGAATCTCCCTCAGAACCTAATGCATTGCCAGAGAACCTCCCTCAGAACCTCAATGCATTCCCAGAAAACATACCTCAGAACCTAATGCATTCCCAGAGAATCTCCCTCAGCACCTAATGTGTTCCCAGAGAACCTCCCTCAGGAGCTAATGCATTCCCACAGAACCTCCTCCAGCACCTAATGCGTTCCCAGAGAACCTCCCACAGACCTCAATGCATTCCCAGAGAACTTCCCACAGAACCTAATGTGGTCCCAAAGATCCTCCCTCAGAATCTAATGCGTTCCCAGAAAAATTTCTTCAGAACCTAATGCATTCCCAGAGAACCTCCCTCAGGACCTCCATGCGTTCCCACAGAACCTCCCTCAGAACCCAATACGTGCCCAGAGAACCTCCCTCAGAACCTCAGTGCATTTCCAGAGAACCTCCCTCAGAACCCAATATGTGCCCAGAGAACCTCCCTCAGAACCTCAGTGCATTCCCAGAGAACCTCCCTCAGAACCTAAAGCGTTCACAGAGAACCTCCCTCAGAACCTAATGCGTTCCCAGAAAACCTCCCTCAGAACCTCAATGCTTTCCTAGAGAACCTCCCTCAGAACCTCAATGACTTAGCAGAGAACCTCCCTCAGGACCTCAATGCATTCCCAGAAACCTCGCTCAGGATCTAGTGCGTTCCCAGAGAACCTCTCAGAGAACCTAAAGCATTCCCAGAGAACCTCCCTCAGAACCTAATGTGTTCCCAAAGAACTTCCCTCAGACCTAATGCTTTCCCAGAAAACCTCCTTCAGAACCTAATGCATTTCCAGAGAACTTCCCTCAGGACGTCAATGCGTTCCCAGAGAACCTCCCTCAGAACCTAATCTTTCCCAGAGAACCTCTGTCAGAACTCAGTGAGTTCCCAGAGAACCTCCCTCAGAACCACAATGCATTCCTAGAGAATCTCCCACAGAACCTCAATGAGTTACCACAGAACCTCCCTCAGGACCTCAATGCGTTCCCAGAGAACATCCCTCCAAACCTAATGCGTTACCACAGAGCCTCCCTCAGAACCTAATGCGTTCCCAGAGAACCCCCAACAGAATCTCAGTGCATTACCAGAAAACCTCCGTCAGGACCTAATGCGGTCCCAGAGAACATCCCTCAGAACCTAATGCGTTCCCAGAGATCCTCCCTCAGAATCTAATACGTTCGCAGAGAAACTCCCTCAGAACCTAATGCATTCCCAAAGAACTTCCTTTAGGACCTCAATGCGTTCCCAGAGAATCTCCCTCACAAAGTAATGCATTTCGAGGCAACCTCCCTCAGAACCTCAGTGCATTACCAGAGAACCTTCCTAAGCACGTAATTCATTCCCAGAGAACTTCCCCCAGAACCTAATGCGTTCCCAGAGATCCTCCCTCAGAATTTAATGCGTTCCCAGAGAAATTCCCTCAGAACCTAATGCATTCCCAGAGAACCTCCCTCAGAATCTCAGTGCATTACCAGAGAACCACCCTCAGGACCTAATGTGGTCCCAGAGAACATCCCTCAGAACCTAATGCGTTCCCAAAGATCCTCCCTCAGGACCTAATGCGTTCCCAAAGATCCTCCTTCAGAATCTAACACACTCACAGAGAAATTCCCTCAGAACATAATGCGTTCCCAAAGAACTTCCCTTAGGACCTCAATGCGTTTTCAGAGAACCTCCCTCAGAACCTAATGCGTTCCCAGGCAACCTCCCTCAGAACCTCACTGCATTACCAGAAAACCTTCCTAAGCAGGTAATTCTTTCCCAGAGAAATTCCCTCAGAACCTAATGCGTTCCCAAAGAATCTCCCTCAGAATCTAATGCATTCCTAGAGAACATCCCTCAGAACCTGATGCGTTCCCAGAGATCCTCCCTCAGAATTTAATGCGTTCCCAGAGAAATTCTCTCAGAACCTAATGCGTTCCCAGAGATGCTCCCTCAGAATTTAATGCGTTCCCAGAGAAATTCTCTCAGAACCTAATGCGTTCCTAGAGAACCTCCCTCAGAACCTCAGTGCGTTTCCAGAGAAGCTCCCTCAGAACGTAATGCATTCCCAGACAACTTCCCTCAGAACCTAATTCCTTCCCAGAGAACCTCTCTCAGAACCTAATGCATTCCTAGAGAACTTCCCTCAGAACCTAATGCGTTCCCAGAGATCCTCCCTCAGAATTTAATGCGTTCCCAGAGAAATTCCCTCAGAACCTCAGTGCGTTCCCAGAGAACCTCCCTCAGAACCTCAGTGCGTTTCCAGAGAAGCTCCCTCAGAAGCCAATGCATTCCCAGACAACTTCCCTGAGAACCTAATTCCTTCCCAGAGAACCTCCCTCAGAACCTCAGTCAATTACCAGAGAACCTCCCTCAGAACCTAATGCGATCCCAGAGAACATCCCTCAGAACCTAATGCGTTCCTAGAGAACCCCCAACAGAATCTCAGTGCATTACCAGAAAACCTCCCGCAGGACCTAATGCGGTCCCAGAGAACATCCCTCAGAACCTAATGCGTTCCCAGAGAACCTCCCTCAGAATGGAATGCGTTTGTAGAGAACTTCCTTCAGAACCTAAGGCGTTCCCAAAGATCCTCCCTCAGAACCTAATGCGTTCCCAGAGAACCCCCAACAGAATCTCAGTGGGTTACCAGAAAACCTCCCTCAGGACCTAATGCGGTCCCAGAGAACCTCCCTCAGAACCTCAGTGCATTACCAGAGAACCTTCCTCAGGACCTAATGCGGTCCCAGAGAACATCCCTCAGAACCTAATGCGTTCCCAGAGAACCTCCCTCAGAACCTAATGCGTTCCCAGAGAATCTCCCTCAGAACCTAATGCGTTCCCAGAGAACCTCCCTCAGAACCTAATGCGTTCCCAGAGAACCTCCCTCAGAACCTAATGTATTCCTAGAGAACTTCCCTCAGAACCTAATGCGTTCCCAGAGATCCTCCCTCAGAATTTAATGCGTTCCCAGAGAAATTCCCTCAGAACCTAATGCCTTCCCAGAGAACCTCCCTCAGAATCTCAGTGCATTACCGGAGAACCACCCTCAGGACCTAATGTGGTCCCAGAGAACATCCCTCAGAACCTAATGCGTTCCCACAGAACTTCCCTCAGAACCTCAGTGCGTTTCCAGAGAACCTCCCTCACAATCTCAGTGCATTCCCAGAGAACTTCCCTCAGGACCTCAATGTGTTCTCAGAGATCCTCCCTCATGACCTAATGTGTTCCCAGAGAACCTCCCTCAGAACCTAATGCATTCCGAGAGAACTTCCCTCAGAACCTAATTCCTTCCCAGAGAACCTCCCTCAGAACCTCAGTGCATTACCAGAGAACCACCCTCAGGACCTAATGCGTTCTCAGAGAACCTCCCTCAGAACCTAATTCCTTCCCAGAGAACCTCCGTCAGAACCTGAGTGCATTAACAGAGAACCACCCTCAGGACCTAATGCGTTCCCAGGGAACCTCCCTCATAACCTAATTCCTTGCCAGAGAACCTCCCTCAGAACCTCAGTGCATTACCAGAGAACCACCGTCAGGACCTAATGTGGTCCCAGAGAACATCCCTCAGAATCTAATGCATTCCCAGAGAACCCCCAACAGAATCTCAGTGGGTTACCAGAAAACCTCCCTCAGGACCTAATGCGGTCCCAGAGAACCTCCCTCAGAACCTCAGTGCATTACCAGAAAACCTCCCTCAGGACCTAATGCGGTCCCAGAGAACATCCCTCAGAACCTAATGCGTTCCCAGAGAACCTCCCTCAGAACCTAATGTGTTCCCAGAGAACCTCCCTCAGAACCTAATTCCTTCCCAGAGAAGCTCCCTCAAAACCTAATGCATTCCCAGACAACTTCCCTCAGAAACTAATGCGTTCCCAGAGATCCTCCCTCAGAATTTAATGCGTTCCCAGAGAAATTCCCTCAGAACCTAATGCGTTCCCAGAGAACCTCCCTCAGAACCTCAGTGCGTTTCCAGAGAACCTCCCTCACAATCTCAGTGAATTCCCAGAGAACTTCCCTCAGGACCTCAATCTGTTCCCAGAGATCCTCCCTCAGGACCTAAGGTGTTCCCAGAGATCCTCCCTCAGAACCTAATGCGTTCCCAGAGAACCTCCCTCAGAACCTAATGCATTCCCAGAGAACTTCCCTCAGAACCTAATTCCTTCCCAGAGAACCTCCCTCAGAACCTCAGTGCATTGCCAGAGAACCTCCCTCAGGACCTAATGTGTTCCCAGGGAACCTCCCTCAGAACCTAATGTGTTCCCAGAGAACCTCCCTCAGGACAGAATGCGTTCCTAGAGAACTTCCCTCAGAACCTAATGCGTTCCCAGAGATCCTCCCTCAGAATCTAATGCGTTCGCAGAGAAATTCCCTCAGAACCTGATGCATTACCAGAGAACTTCCCTTAGGACCTCAATGCGTTCCCAGAGAACCTCCCTCAGAACCTAATGCATTCCAAGAGAACCTCCCTCAGAACCTAATGCATTCCAAGAGAACCTCCCTCAGAACCTCAACGCATTCGCAGAGATCAAGACCTCTACGCGTTCCCAGAGACCCTCCCTCAAGACCTAATGGGTACCCAGAGAACCTCCCACAGAACCTAATGCGTTCCCAGATAACCTCCCTCAGAACTTAATGCATTCCCAGAGACCTTCCCTCACAACCTAATGCGTTCCCACAGGACTTCACTCAAGACCTAATGTGTTCCCAGAGAACTTCCCTCAGGACCTAATGCATTCCCAGAGAACCTCCCTCAGGACCTAATGCGTTTCCAGAGAACCTCCCTTAAAAGCTAGTGCGTTCGCAGAGAACCTCCCTCAGAACCTAATGCATTCCCACAGATCTTCACTCAGGACCTGATGCGTTCCCAGAGAACTTCCCTCAGGATCTCAATTCGTTTCCAGAGAACCTCCCTCAGGACCTCAATGCGTTCCCAGAGAACCCCTCTCAGAACCTAATGGGTTCCCAGAGAACTTCCCTAAGAACCTAATTCGTTCCCAGAGAACCTCCCTGAGAACCCTGAGGTCACAGAGGACCTTCCTCAGAACCTAATGCATTCCCAGAGAACTTCCCTCAAAACCTAATGCATTCCCTGAGAATCTCCCTCAGAACATAATGCGTTCCCAAAGAAGCTCCCACACAACCTACTGCGTTCCCAGAGAACCTCCCTCAGAACCTGAATGCATTCCCAGAGAACTTCCCTCAGAACCTAAGGCATTCCCAGAGAACTTCCCTCAGAACCTAATGCGTTCCCAGAGAACCTCCCTAAGGACGTAATGCATTCACAGAGGACTTCCCTCAGAACCTAATGCATCCCCGGAAAACCTTCCTCAGAACCTAATGCGTTCCTAGAGAACTTTCCTCAGAACTTAAATGCGTTCCCAGAGATCCTCCCTCAGAATCTAATGCGTTCCCACAGAAATTCCCTCAGAACCTACTGCGTTCCCAGAGAACTTCCCTTAGGACCTCAATGCGTTCCCAGAGAACCTCCCTCAGAACCTCAGTACATTCGCAGACAACCTCCCTTGGAACCTCAGTGCATTCCCAGATAACCTCCCTGAGGACCTCAATGTGTTCCCAGAGACCCTCCCTCAGAACCTAATGTGTTCCCAGAGAACCTCCTTCAGAACCTAATGCGTTCCCAGAGAACCTCCCTCAGAATCTAATGCATTCCCAGAGAACCTCCCTCAGAACCTCAGTGCAATCCCAGAGAACCTGCCTTCAAACCTAATGCGTTCCCAGAAAACATCCCTCAGGAACTAATGAGTTCCAGGAGAACTTCCCTCAGAACCTAATGTGTTCCCAGAGAACCTCCCTCAGAACCTAATGCATCCCAGAGAACATCACTCAGAACCTAATGTGTTCCCAGAGAACCTCCCTCAGAACCTCAGTGCATTCTGAGAACCTCCCTCAAAACCTCAGTGTGTTCCCAGAGAACCTCCCTGAGGACCTAATGCATTCCCAGAGAACCTCCCTCAGAACCCAATGTGTCCCCAGAGAACCTCCCTCACAACCCAGTGCGTTCCCAGAGAACCTCCCTCAGGACCTCAATGCGTTCCCACAGAACTTCCCTCATCATCTAATGCATTCCCAAAGAACCTCCCTCAGAACCTAGTGCATTCCCAGAGAACATCACTCAGGACCCAATGTGTTCCCAGAGAACCTCCACAGAAGCTCAATGCGTTCCCAGAGAACCTCCTTCAGACGCTAATGTGTTCCCAGGGAACTTCCCTCAGAACCTCAACGCAGTCCCAGAGAAACTCCCTCAGACCCTAACGTGTTCCCAGAGAACCTCCCTTAGAACCCAATGCGTTCCCAGAGAACCTCCCTCAGAACCTAATGCGTTCCGAGATAACCTCCCTCAGAATCTCAATGCGTTCCCAGAGAACTTCTCTTAGAACCTAATGCGTTTCCAGAGAACCTCCCTCAGAATCTCCATGCATTCTCAGAGGACTTCCCTCAGAACCTAATGTGTTCCCAGAGAACTTCCCTCAGGACCTAATGCGTTCCCAGAGAACTTCCCTCAGGACCTAATGCGTTCCCAGAGAACCTCCCTCAGGACCTAATGTGTTTCCAGAGAACCTCCCTTAGAACCTAATGCGTTCCTAGAGAACTTCCCTCAGAATCTAAAGTGTTCCCAGAGAACCTCCCTCAGAACCTCAGTGCATTAGCAGAGAACCTCCCTCAGAACCTAATGCGTTCCCACAGAACTTCCCTCACAACCTAATGCGTTCCCAAAGAACTTCCCTCAGGACCTCAATGCGTTCCCAGAGAATCTCCCTCAGAACCTAATGCGTTCCCAAAGAACTTCCCTCAGAACCTAATATGTTCCCAGAGAACCTCCCTCAGAACCTCAGTGAGTTCCCAGAGAACCTCCTTCGGAACCTCAGTGCATTCCCAGAGAACCTCCCTCAGAACCTCAGTGTGTTCCCAGAGAACCTCCCTGAGGACATAATGCATTCCCACAGAACCTCCCTCAGAACCTCAATGCGTTCCCAGAGACCTTCCCTCACGACCTAATGCGTTCCCAGAGAACTTCCCCCAGGACCTAATGCATTCCCAGAGACCTCTCTCAGAACCTCAATGCGTTCCCAGAGAACCTTCCTCAGGACCTAATGCGTTCCCAGAGAACCTCCCTCAGAACTTCAATACATTCCCAGAGAACTTTCCTCAGAACCTAATGCGTTCCCAGGGAACTTCCATCAGAACCTAATGCATTCCCAGATAACCTCCCTCAGAACCTGAATGCGTTCCCAAAGAACCTCCCTCAGAACCTAATGTGTTCCCGGAGAACCTCACTCAGGACCTCAATGCGTTCCCAGAGAACTCCCTTCTGAACCAAATGCGTTCCCAGAGAATCTCCCTCAGAACCTAATGGGTTCCCATAGAACCTCCCTCAGAATCTAATGTGTTCCCAGAGAACTTCCCTCAGGACCTCAATGCATTCCCAGAGAACCTCCTTCAGAACCTCAATGCGTTCCCAGAGAACTTCCCTCAGAACCTCAATGCGTTCCCAGAGAACCTCCATCAGGACCTCATGCGTTCCCAGGGAACCTCCCTCAGAACCTCAATGCATTCCCAGAGAACTTCCCTCAGTACCTAATGCGTTCCCAGGGAACCTCCCTCAGGACCTAATATGTTCCCAGATAACTTCCCTCAGTACCTAATGCATTCCCCAAGAAGCTCCCTCAGAACCCAATGTGTTTCCAGAGATCTTCCCTCAGAACCTCAGTGTGTTCCTGAAGAACTTCCCTCAGGACTTTCCTGCAGCCGCTGTTGCTCTCCCCATGGGAGCCACCTTCTGGTCCCTTCCGAGTGCGTTCTTTAGACTGTGAGGCTTCCTCTGGGAGCCCAGGCCAGTCTGTCTCCAGTCATCTCGTTACAATCATCTTGACCTTTCCAAAACCTGCCTTCCAACGTGGAAGGGCTTGGCTGCGGACAAGGACGCAGGGATGAGGAGGAGTCTTCCTCCTTTTCTAATGCCCCCTCACGCACACAACGGACACTGGAGCACGAACACAGTCTTCGGCTGTTAGTTTGGAAGTCTTTGGGATTTTTTTAAAAACAGGGTGGGAGGGAAGAAACCTGGCCGCAGTGAGATGCTTTATAAAAATATTTGGAGGCTACAAGTTTGTGAAAAGCATATAGTATATTTTGTTTGCTTTTCTTTTCTTTTTTTCTTTTGAGACGAAGTCTCTGTCACCAAGCTGGGTGGCATAGTGACGGCTAATTGCAGCCTCTGCCTCCTGGGCTCCAGTGATTTTCCCACCTCAGCCTCTCGAGTAGCTGGGACTACAGGTGTGCATCACCACACCTGACTAGTTTTTTTAAAAAAATTATTTATAAAGATGAGGTTTCAGCATGTTGCCCAGGCTGGTCTTGAATCCTGGGCTCAAGAGCTCCTCCTACCTTGGCCTCCCAAAGTGCTGGGATTACAGGTGTGACCCACTGTACCTGGCCACGTGAAAAGCATATACTGTATTATATAGATGATCCATAAAATAAAATCAGAATCCATGAGTTCATACTGATATATAAACAAATAGGGGAGAGGGAAAATTCTTCCATATAGTAGAACTCCAATTAGTAAATGTAGAAGAAATGATGAAAATAGACAATCGACATTTGGCAAATGCCACAGAAACAACGCTTCCGTCAGGAATCAATCAAGGGATGCGAAATGAGTGGGCAAAAGTTTGATGAGAGCAGGATATTTACAAAGTATCATCCCATAAGATACTTATTAATTACCAGGAGAAAAATAGTAACTTCACATTGAAGACAGTTGGCAGGTACCACCTAAAGCAAGTAATCGAAGTCCCCAATAATGGGACAAATCAATGTGATGTGCCTCTTGACACAATGCACTGGGGATACAATGCCACTTTTATGGTGTTCTTGCCCAAAATTGATTTCATCAAGAAAAAACAAACAAAAACTGAGGACATTGTACAAAATACCTGGCCAGTACACACTGAGGTCGTGAAAGACAAAGAAAACTTGAGGAATGGCTGGGCAAGGTGGCTCATGCCTGTAATTCCAGCACTTTGGGAGGCTCAAGTGGGTGGATCATTTGAGCCCAGGAGTTCCAGACCAGCCTGGGCAACACAGGGAGACAGAATCTCTACTAAAAATAGAGGGTGGCATGTGCCTGTGGTCCCAGCTACTTGGGAGACTGCAGTGGGAGGATTGCTTGAGCCCAGGAGATGGAGGATGCAGTAAGTCATAATCTCACCACTGCACCCCAGCCTGGGGGACAGCGTGAGACTCTGTCTCAAAAAAGGAGGGGAGGGGAGGGAATAAAAAGATGAGGAACTACTCAAGATTAAAGGAGACCAAGATCAAAGAGATCTGACAACGAAATGCATGATTATTGGGTCCTGGACCAGAAAAAGGGGCATTAATGGGACAGTATTACCTTCTCGATTTTGGTAACTCTGGTTGTTATGTAAGATGTTAACATTCTCTGAGGAGGGCATGTGAAAATTTTTTGTCCTATTTTTGTAACTTTTTTATAAGTCTAAATTATTTCAAAATAAAAGGATAAATTATACTTGAAAACATATATATTAGAGACTAGGCTTTCTTCCAATACCCAGTGCCTGACACTGTAAAGCTTTGTGGGCTGATATATGTCAGGGCTCAACACCCACATAGGAAGGGATCCCAATGTAGGGATCCACTGGGGACCTTATTAGGGGCAAACTCAGGCTCTGAGATTTATAGACACAATTAATGATAACATTCAAAAGATGTAAAAATACCCCTAATGGGTTTCTAGGGAGGGTCACAGGCATGCCACAACCATCTTTCAGCCCCGGAAGGAGCTGTGCGCTCCTAAGACCCAGTCATGACCAGAGCGGCGAGAAATGCAGGCAGAAAACAGCGAATGTTCCTCACTCACTTGTCTTGGGATTCGATATACACGTAGAGATGAGGCTCAAAACACTTGGAAACAATGCCATGAAATGGATTGTCTGGGGCTTTAGGCTTCTTTGGCTGTAAAAACAAAGAAAAATAAACCCCATACTTGAGTGATCTTTGCAAATGTTCAAGAATTTTTTTAAAAACATCATTTCAAAGTTCATTCCTAAGTCACAGATAAGAGAGTACTCAATGTAACCCAATACGATGGTTTCACCATTCACCCTGGCAGGTGAAGAAAAACCAGCTTTGTTAGCATAACTCACTTGCTCTGGACGATGAAAGACATACTGCTACCTGGATAACATATGTGTTTTGAATCTGGAAGCAAGTCATCATCTATCTGACTGGTGTTTTCCAGAATTTAAATCCCAGCTAATAATAGCACCTTGTATTTACACAGTGCTTTAGAATTTAAAAAGTGCTTTCACACAATCCAATTTTTGATAGCACTTTGATACCAACTAATATGTCACCTGCTCCTCACAATAATCCTTCATGTAGGTATGACTACTACTATTTTACACCTCAAGAAATGAGGACTCAGAGGTTCTCTAACCTGCCCCAACACATATGTAGACGTCTGCTTTTCTTAAACTAGAACTCTTTCTGTTATACCATTATTTTCCTGCAATGGTTCCCAGAATTTTTTGAATTCCATCAGTAAGAAAATGTAAGAAAAAGAAGAATGGACAACCAATAGAGGATTGTTAACTTTATTTTGCTACTTTCTATTCTTACCACGAGTTCCTAAAAAAAAAACAAATAAAGGGTTTTTTTGTTTGCTTTTTGAGACAGAGTCTCCCTCTGTCACCCAGGCTAAAGTGCAGTGGCGCCATCTCAGCTCACTGCAACCTGCACCTTCTGGACTCAAGTGATTCTTGTGTCTCAGCCTCCTAAGTAGCTGGGACTATAGGCACACGCCACCACACCGAGCTAATTTTTGTATTTTAAGTAGAGGTGGGGTTTTGCCATGTTGGCCAGGCTAGTCTCGAACTCTTGGCCTCAAGTGATCCACCCACCTCTACCTCCCAAAGTGCTGGGCTTATAGGCATGAGGCATGGCGCCCAGCCAGAAAATTGTATTTTATACCCCCAAATTTTATAAGAATAAAATAGCAGCATATAGGCAGTACTTTCTAAGAAAGGACAGTTGGTAACCTTACATCAGATAGATAGAGAGAGAGACAGGCAGGCAGGCAGGCAGACTATATTGTCTTTATTTTTTGCTTTAGGCCACTGCAACACTAGATGAGCGCTGGTTCCCAGGCTGTTACTTGGAAGCCACTGATAAAGAAGTCATATGACAGGCAAGTATTTTAAAACAATATTTGCCACTTAATTCCTTTCCAAACATCTAAAAAATAAGCAAAGATTTTCCTATGTATTACTTCTATTCCTAACAAATGTGAATTCTGTCTATTGCCAAATGTCTACAAAATGACCCTGAGCCAAACACACCATGCTGGGGTTGATACTAAATCATAATTTGCATGTAAATTGGCACCCACAACATACTTGTTAAATTGAACTACTCATATCTTATTTTTTAAAAACCCACTTTATTGAGGTATGATTGACATTTTAAAAGCCCTACATAATTAATGTATACATCTTGATGCGTTTGAGGATAAGTACACACCCACAAAGCCCTCACCACCATCAAGGCAGTAAGTGTATCCACCACCTCCCCAAGCCTCCTCCCACCCCTGTTGTTACGATTATTATTACTTGTGGTAAGAATGCTTGCTGGGCACGGTGGCTCACGCCTGTAATCCCAGCACTTTGGGAGGCCAAGGTGGGCGGATCACAAGGTCAGGAGTTCAAGACCAGCATGGCCAATATGGTGAAACCCTGTCTCTACTAAAAAAATACAAAAATTAGCAGGTTGTGGTGGTGTGCGCCTGTAGTCCCAGCTACTTGAGAGGCTGAGGTAGAAAAATTGCTTGAACCCAGGAGGTGGAGATGGCAGTGAGCCGAGATTGCACCACTGTACTCCAGCCTGGCGACAGAGTGAGACTCCATTTCAAAAACAAACAAACAAACAAACAAAAAAGAATACTTAACATAAGATCTACCCTCTTGAACTGCTTATATATTTTAATAAATACTGGAAGAGATAAGCCCTAATGACAGAAATGATAACTACCTATTTCTGGCCTTTAAAAAAATTTTTTTTTAAATAACACGTTGCAATGGTTAAAAACATCTGTAAAAACTGATTTGTAAAAAATGATCACTAAAAATTAAATGTCAACTTTAGACACATCTACTCAATCTTGTACTTAACCCTCTTCCCTTTTTACCTTTCAGGAGTTCCATGTCTTTCATTTTTTGGCAAGGTTTCTAGAAACTTTGGTCCTTCCTAAGAATAAATACAATCTGCACTGTTTTTACTCTTATCATCTGGAAGTCACTGCCAAAGCCAGGCCTTGGACTGAGCCCACAACCACACAAGCCTGGCTGATTGAGCTTGAATCTGCCGGATCTAGAATTCCACTTGAGTGCACAGATGTCCTGGGAGTTTTTCTGCATTTCCATTAGTTTAAGATGAAGGATCTATGATGGAGGATGAGGATTGTGAGGGGTGTCCTCACCCACTTGTCCTGTTTATTCCAAGTCAGTATCTTTTATTATTGATTCAATAAGATGACTTAAGTGAATAGAAAAATGTGATTTAATTTGTCTAACTCTATAGGACTAGATATCATGGATTCAGATTTGGAAAACATGGCTACTACAAACAGATATCTTTTTATTAATTAAATAATAATGATAAGTATTATAGCTATTCTTTTTATTTAATTTTTTTCTTCTTTTGAAGAAAATATTCACACTCTGCAGGATAACTTCTGGTAATTATACATGTGAATTTACATAATACAGAATGTTAACATTTAAAAAAATCAACGTGTATATTTTGCTTTTTTTTTAAATTTTGAACATGTATATTTTGTATTCAGCTTTACTGACTTACTAATTTATGTGTACTTTCCCAACTACTGACAATATTTTATCACTTTAAAATGGCTACATTATGAAAATCTTTAAAAGCCTATATATTATAGATTACTGTATGGATGTTAAATTTTCTGATTTTGATCTATGGTAATAGAATTGAATGCCCTTTTTCTTAAGAAATATATACTAAAATATTTAGGGGTAAAGGACATTATGTCTACAACTTACAAATTGTTCTAAAGGTCGGGGGGGAGTGGGGAGGAAATAATAAAGTTATATAGCAAAATGTTAACAATTGCTGAATCCAGAAGAAAGATATTTAGGAGCTCCTTGTAACTTTTCTCTTAGTTTGACATTATTTTAAAAAGAAAAAAAGTAAAGGATAACGTCAGAAAACTTGGAAAATGGGTACAGTGGCCTGGTGGAAAATTCCAGAGACCTCAATGGAGCCATCTTAAGAATGGCATATTGTCCCATTGATCTATATCTCTTGTTTTGGTACCAGTACCATGCTGTTTTGGTTACTGTAGCCTTGTAGTATAGTTTGAAGTCAGGTAGTGTGATGCCTCCAGCTTTGTTCTTTTGGCTCAGGATTGACTTGGCGATGTGGGCTCTTTTTTGGTTCCATATGAACTTTAAAGTAGTTTTTTCCAATTCTGTGAAGAAAGTCATTGGTAGCTTGATGGGGATGGCATTGAATCTGTAAATTACCTTGGGCAGTATGGCCATTTTCACGATATTGATTCTTCCTACTCATGAGAATGGAATGTTCTCCCATTTGTTTGTATCCTCTTTTATTTCACTGAGCAGTGGTTCGTAGTTCTCCTTGAAGAGGACCTTCACATCCCTTGTAAGTTGGATTCCTAGGTATTTTATTCTCTTTGAAGCAATTGTGAATGGGAGTTCACTCATGATTTGGCTCTCTGTTTGTCTGTTGTTGGTGTATAAGAATGCTCGTGATTTTTGTACATTGATTTTGTATCCTGAGACTTTGCTGAAGTTGCTTATCAGCTTAAGGAGATTTTGGGCTGAGATAATGGGGTTTTCTAGATATACAATCATGTCGTCTGCAAACAGGGACAATTTGACTTCCTCTTCTCCTAACTGAATACCCTTTATTTCCTTCTCCTGCCTAATTGCCCTGGCCAGAACTTCCAACACTATGTTGAATAGGAGTGGTGAGAGAGGGCATCCCTGTCTTGTGCCAGTTTTCAAAGGGAATGCTTCCAGTTTTTGCCCATTCAGTATGATATTGGCTGTGGGTTTGTCATAGATAGCGCTTATGATTTTGAGATACGTCCCATCAATACCTAATTTATTGAGAGTTTTTAGCATGAAGAGTTGTTGAATTTTGTCAAAGGCCTTTTCTGCATCTATTGAGATAATCATGTGGTTTTTGTCTTTGGTTCTGTTTATGTGCTGGATTACATTTATTGATTTGCGTATATTGAACCAGCCTTGCATCCCAGGGATGAAGCCCACTTGATCATGGTGGATAAGCTTTTTGATGTGCTGCTGGATTTGGTTTGCCAGTATTTTATTGAGGATTTTTGCATCAATGTTCATCAAGGATATTGGTCTAAAATTCTCTTTTTTGGTTGTGTCTCTGCCCGGCTTTGGTATCAGGATGATGCTGGCCTCATAAAATGAGTTAGAGAGGATTCCCTCTTTTTCTATTGATTGGAATAGTTTCAGAAGGAATGGTACCAGTTCCTCCTTGTACCTCTGGTAGAATTTGGCTGTGAATCCATCTGGTCCTGGACTCTTTTTCGTTGGTAAGCTATTGATTATTGCCACAATTTCAGCTCCTGTTATTGGTCTATTCAGAGATTCAACTTCTTCCTGGTTTAGTTTTGGGAGAGTGTATGTGTCGAGGAATTTATCCATTTCTTCTAGATTTTCTGGTTTATTTGCATAGAGGTGTTTGTAGTATTCTCTGATGGTAGTTTGTATTTCTGTGGGATCGGTGGTGATATCCCCTTTGTCATTTTTTATTGCATCTATTTGATTCTTCTCTCTTTTTTTCTTTATTAGTCTTGCTAGCAGTCTATCAATTTTGTTGATCCTTTCAAAAAACCAGCTCCTGGATTTGTTAATTTTTTGAAGGGTTTTTTGTGTCTCTATTTCCTTCAGTTCTGCTCTGATTTTCGTTATTTCTTGCCTTCTGCTAGCTTTTGAATGTGTTTGCTCTTGCTTTTCTAGTTCTTTTAATTGTGATGTTAGGGTGTCAATTTTGGATCTTTCCTGCTTTCTCTTGTGGGCATTTAGTGCTACAAATTTCCCTCTACACACTGCTTTGAATGTGTCCCAGAGATTCTGGTATGTTGCGTCTTTGTTCTCGTTGGTTTCAAAGAACATCTTTATTTCTGCCTTCATTTCGTTATGTACCCAGTAGTCATTCAGGAGCAGGTTGTTCAGTTTCCATGTAGTTGAGCGGTTTTGAGTGAGATTCTTAATCCAGAGTTCTAGTTTGATTGCACTGTGGTCTGAGAGATAGTTTGTTATAATTTCTTTTACATTTGCTGAGGAGAGCTTTACTTCCAACTATGTGGTCAATTTTGGAATAGATGTGGTGTGGTGCTGAAAAAAATGTATATTCTGTTGATTTGGGGTGGAGAGTTGATTTGGGGTGGAGAGTTCTGTAGATGTCTATTAGGTCCGCTTGGTGCAGAGCTGAGTTCCATTCCTGAGTATCCTTGTTGACTTTCTGTCTCATTGATCTGTCTAATGTTGACAGTGGGGTGTTAAAGTCTCCCATTATTAATGTGTGGGAGTCTAAGTCTCTTTGTAGGTCACTCAGGACTTGCTTTATGAATCTGGGTGCTCCTGTATTGGGTGCATATATATTTAGGATAGTTAGCTCTTGTTGAATTGATCCCTTTACCATTAAGTAATGGCCTTCTTTGTCTCTTTTGATCTTTGTTGGTTTAAAGTCTGTTTTATGAGAGACTAGGATTGCAACCCCTGCCTTTTTTTGTTTTCCATTTGCTTGGTAGATCTTCCTCCATCCTTTCATTTTGAGCCTATGTGGTGTCTCTGCCCGTGAGATGGGTTTCCTGAATACAGCACACTGATGGGTCTTGACTCTTTATCCAATTTGCCAGTCTGTGTCTTTTAATTGGAGCATTTAGTCCATTTACATTTAAAGTTAATATTGTTATGTGTGAATTTGATCCTGTCATTATGATGTTAGCTGGTGATTTTGCTCGTTAGTTGATGCAGTTTCTTCGTAGTCTTGATGGTCTTTACATTTTGGCATGATTTTGCAGTGGCTGGTACCGGTTGTTCCTTTCCATGTTTAGCGCTTCCTTCAGGAGCTCTTTTAGGGCAGGTCTGGTGGTGACAAAATCTCTCAGCAGTTGCCTGTCTGTGAAGTATTTTATTTCTCCTTCACTTATGAAGCTTAGTTTGGCTGGATATCAAATTCTGGGTTGAAAATTCTTTTAAGAATGTTGAATATTGGCCACCACTCTCTTCTGGCTTGTAGAGTTTCTGCCGAGAGATCTGCTGTTAGTCTGATGGGCTTCCCTTTGAGGATAACCCGACCTTTCTCTCTGGCTGCCCCTGACATTTTTTCCTTCATTTCAACCTTGGTGAATCTGACAATTATGTGTCTTGGTGTTGCTCTTCTCGAGGAGTATCTTTGTGGCGTTCTCTGTATTTCCTGAATCTGAATGTTGGCCTGCCTTGCTAGATTGGGGAAGTTCTCCTGGATAGATCAATGGAACAGAACAGAGCCCTCAGAAATAATGCCGCATATCTACAACTATCTGATCTTTGACAAACCTGAGAAAAACAAGAAATGGGGAAAGGATTCCCTATTTAATAAATGGTGCTGGGAAAACTGGCTAGCCATATGTAGAAAGCTGAAACTGGATCCCTTCCTTACACTTTATACAAAAATCAATTCAAGATGGATTAAAGACTTAAACGTTAGACCTAAAACCATAAAAACCCTAGAAGAAAACCTAGGCATTACCATTCAGGACATAGGCATGGGCAAGGACTTCATGTCTAAAACACCAAAAGCAATGGCAACAAAAGACAAAATTGACCAATGGGATCTAATTAAACTAAAGAGCTTCTGCACAGCAAAAGAAACTACCATCAGAGTGAACAGGCAACTACAAAATGGGAGAAAATTTTCGCAACCTACTCATCTGACAAAGGGCTAATATCCAGAATCTACAATGAACTCAAACAAATTTACAAGAAAAAAACAAACAGCCCCATCAAAAAGTGGGCAAAGGACATGAACAGACACTTCTCAAAAGAAGACATTTATGCAGCCAAAAAACACATGAAAAAATGCTCACCATCACTGGCCATCAGAGAAATGCAAATCAAAACCACGATGAGATACCATTTCACACCAGTTAGAATGGCGATCATTAAAAAGTCAGGAAACAACCGGTGCTGGAGAGGATGTGGAGAAACAGGAACACTTTTACACTGTTGGTGGGACTGTAAACTAGTTCAACCATTGTGGAAGTCAGTGTGGCGATTCCTCAGGGATCTAGAACTAGAAATACCATTTGACCCAGCAATCCCATTACTGGGTATATACCCAAAGGACTATAAATCATGCTGCTATAAAGACACATGCACACGTATGTTTATTGCAGCATTATTCACGATAGCAAAGACTTGGAACCAACCCAAATGTCCAACAATGATAGACTGGATTAAGAAAATGTGGCACATATACACCATGGAATACTACACAGCCATAAAAAATGATGAGTTCGCGTCCTTTGTAGGGACATGGATGAAATTGGAAATCATCATTCTCAGTAAACTATCGCAAGAACAAAAAACCAAACACCGCATATTCTCACTCACAGGTGGGAATTGAACAATGAGAACACAAGGACACAGGAAGGGGAACATCACACTCTGGGGACTGTTGTGGGGTGGGAGGAGGGGGGAGGGATAGCACTGGGAGATATACCTAATGCCCTAATGCTAGCTGACGAGTTTGTGGGTGCAGCGCACCAGCATGGCACATGTATACATATGTAACTAACCTGCACATTGTGCACATGTACCCTAAAACTTAAAGTATAATAATAAATAAATAAATAAAGAATGGCACATTGTCAACACCGCATGGGCTGGAGGGCAACACTGTGTGGGAGGCAAAGGCACTCCTGCCTCAGCGAAATAGGGGTGTGGATCAATTTCCTGGTTTGATGATGCACTCTAGTGCCCCCCCTGGAGGAAGCTGGGAGATGGGAAGGGGTCTGGATCAATTTCCTGGTTTAATGATGCACTCTAGTGTCCCCCCTGGAGGAAGCTGGGAGATGGGAAGGGGTCTGGATCAATTTCCTCGTTTGATGATGCACTCTAGTGCCCCGCCCTGGAGGAAGCTGGGAGATGGGAAGGGGTCTGGATCAATTTCCTGATTTGATGATGCACTCTAGTGTCCCCCTGGAGGAAGCTGGGAGATGGGAAGGGGTCTGGATCAATTTCCTGGTTTGATGATGCACTCTAGTGTCCCCCCTGGAGGAAGCTGGGAGATGGGAAGGGGTCTGGATCAATTTCCTGGTTTGATGATGCACTCTAGTGCCCTGCCCTCGAGGAAGCTGGGAGATGGGAAGGGGTCTGGATCAATTTCCTGATTTGATGATGCACTCTAGTGTCCCCCTGGAGGAAGCTGGGAGATGGGAAGGGGTCTGGATCAATTTCCTGGTTTGATGATGCACTCTAGTGCCCCACCCTGGAGGAAGCTGGGAGATGGGAAGGGGTCTGGATCAATTTCCTGGTTTGATGATGCACTCTAGTGTCCCCCTGGAGGAAGCTGGGAGATGGGAAGGGGTCTGGATCAATTTCCTCGTTTGATGATGCACTCTAGTGTCCCCCTGGAGGAAGCTGGGAGATGGGAAGGGGTCTGGACCAATTTCCTCGTTTGATGATGCACTCTAGTGTCCCCCTGGAGGAAGCTGGGAGATGGGAAGGGGTCTGGATCAATTTCCTCGTTTGATGATGCACTCTAGTGCCCTGCCCTGGAGGAAGCTGGGAGATGGGAAGGGGTCTGGATCAATTTCCTGATTTGATGATGCACTCTAGTGTCCCCCTGGAGGAAGCTGGGAGATGGGAAGGGGTCTGGATCAATTTCCTGGTTTGATGATGCACTCTAGTGTCCCCCCTGGAGGAAGCTGGGAGATGGGAAGGGGTCTGGATCAATTTCCTGGTTTGATGATGCACTCTAGTGCCCTGCCCTCGAGGAAGCTGGGAGATGGGAAGGGGTCTGGATCAATTTCCTGATTTGATGATGCACTCTAGTGCCCCCCCGGAGGAAGCTGGGAGATGGGAAGGGGTCTGGATCAATTTCCTGGTTTGATGATGCACTCTAGTGTCCCCCCTGGAGGAAGCTGGGAGATGGGAAGGGGTCTGGATCAATTTCCTGGTTTGATGATGCACTCTAGTGCCCCCCCTGGAGGAAGCTGGGAGATGGGAAGGGGTCTGGATCAATTTCCTGGTTTGATGATGCACTCTAGTGTCCCCCTGGAGGAAGCTGGGAGATGGGAAGGGGTCTGGATCAATTTCCTGATTTGATGATGCACTCTAGTGTCCCCCTGGAGGAAGCTGGGAGATGGGAAGGGGTCTGGATCAATTTCCTCGTTTGATGATGCACTCTAGTGTCCCCCTGGAGGAAGCTGGGAGATGGGAAGGGGTCTGGATCAATTTCCTCGTTTGATGATGCACTCTAGTGTCCCCCTGGAGGAAGCTGGGAGATGGGAAGGGGTCTGGATCAATTTCCTGGTTTGATGATGGACTCTACTATGTTAGCTGTCCCCTGGAGGACGCTGGGAGATCAGTACACTGTACCTCGCTGTACTAGGTTTATAATTTATGAGCCCATAATTATTTCAAAATATAAAGTTTTTTAAAAAGTGGTTCAGAAGATGTGGACCTGCATGTGAAGAAGTTTTAGAAATATCTTTATTTATTTTGCCTATAGTTTCCTTTTTATGTATGCACAAAAGTGATATATGATTTGAAAGAAACTATGTTGGAGTAAGTGTGAAGAGCTCATCTCTTAGGTATAAAATACAGATTCCAAGTGAGTAAAGAAAATGGCTACATAATTCCAACGAACTCATCTTGTTCAGTCTGCCACAGGCCCTGCCCTTGATGACGTCCCACAGGTCCTGCCCTTGATGAGGCCCCACAGGACACTCAGAAAGCTGCATGACCAGGCAGTGCCAGGGTTCCACCTCTATCTGCAGATGACGCTGCCCTGCCCTGCCCTCCCCACCAACAGCACTCTTCTGCAGTGAGGAGGGACCCTTGACCCTGCCACCACAGCACCCGGGTCCTCTTGCAGCACTTCTAGTGAGCTGAAGCAAGAGAGGAATAATGGGAGAGACTGCCTGAAGTTTCCTTTTTTCTTACTTTTTTCCTGCAGGGCTGCCTCCTGCCTATGGCTACGTTATGAACGTGCTCAGTTTAGATAGTAGGTGCTGGAATTTTGGCTAACTGGCATTTCCCTTTGCACCAAGCAACTGCCCAAAGGGTTGATTCTCAGCTTAAACACTACACTAAGTCATTTAGCAGTAATGTTTGGGCCGGGTTCTGAGTGTGTGAATTCTGTCCAAAAGCTGAAGATGTTTAAGCTATTTCCTCCTGGAGTTTGGTGGAATAATAAAAGGTTACTGTTGTCACAGTGAGGAGGTCTGCAGCTGGTCCCACTTCCTTTCATTACTACCCAATGTAAACAGATTAAATCGAACCGCTCGGATCACCAGAAGGGACATTCCTTATTTCTGCTCCTTTCTGTTATGCTTTCAGTGTCCCTCAGGCTCCTTTCAGATGTCAGTTTTTATCATTGGGAATATCTTGGCAACTGATTGCTCAGGCCCTCTTGTAAACGAAATACCTTCTTTCAGGTTCCCTCTCTCTTCTCAGCAGCGAGGCGTAAACTGCAGTAGTGAGCAGGGTGTGACCCTTACCTTGAGGGCCACATGGCTACTGACTGCAGCCATGAAATGGGTTAGGTCACCCACAGAGCCGGCAGAGACCTTCCCTCCAACCACCTCTGGCTGATTTCACCACTAACACCTGGTGGGGTCCCTCCCCCACCCCAAGAGGTCTGCTTTTGTTGTGCACCCCACTCTGGGAAGAGGGAGATCCTGGGGCGCCCACCTAATCAGCCACCAGCAAGGCCAGGGCTGGTGACGCAGCAGGAGGTAAGGGATGGCGTGGGTGGAGGCATTAGTCACTGGCATGTAAGTGTTATTACTAATCAGTAATAGCCCATGAAATGGTGGGTGGATCAGCTAGATTAGGGGGTTTAGTTGTTTCTTTTGAGATGGAGTCTCACTCTGTCACCCAGGCTATAGTGCAATGGCGTGATCTCGGCTCACTGTAACCTCCGCCTCCCAAGTTCACACGATTCTCCTGCCTCAGCCTCCTGAGTAGCTGGGATTACAGGCATGCACCACCACGCCCGGCTAATTTTGTATTTTTAGTATGGTTTCACCATGTTGTTTAGTATGGTTTCAACATAGTTTCACCATGTTGGTCAGGCTGGTTTTGAACTCCTGACCTCAGGTGATCGGCCTGCCTCAGCCTCCCAAAGTGCTGGGATTACAGGCATGAGCCACCATTCCCGGCCATTTTTTTTTTAAATTACATAAAACCTCTGGTTCAAAAAAAAATTTCATCTGAAAGCCCACAATACAAAATGACTTGCAGCTCTCCCTCTCCCTCTCCCTCTCCCCACGGTCTCCCTCTCCCTCTCTTTCCACGGTCTCCCTCTCATGCTGAGCCGAAGCTGGACTGTACTGCTGCCATCTCGGCTCACTGCAACCTCCCTGCCTGATTCTCCTGACTCAGCCTGCCGAGTGCCTGCGATTGCAGGCTCGCGCCGCCACACCTGACTGGTTTTGGTGGAGACGGGGTTTCGCTGGGTTGGCCAGGCCGGTCTCCAGCCCCTAACCGCAAGTGATCCGCCAGCCTCGGCCTCCCGAGGTGCCGGGATTGCAGACGGAGTCTCGTTCACTCAGTGCTCAATGGTGCCCAGGCTGGAGTGCAGGGGCGTGATCTCAGCTCGCTACAACCTCCACCTCCCAGCCGCCTGCCTTGGCCTCCCAAAGTGCCGAGATTGCAGCCTCTGCCCGGCCACCACCCCGTCTGGGAAGTGAGAAGCGTCTCTGCCTGGCCGCCCATCATCTGGGATGTGAGGAGCCCCTCTGCCTGGCTGCCCAGTCTGGAAAGTGAGGAGCGTCTCCGCCCGGCCGCCATCCCACCTAGGAAGTGAGGAGCACCTCTTCCCGGCCGCCATCACATCTAGGAAGTGAGGAGCGTCTCTGCCCGGCTGCCCATTGTCTGAGATGTGGGGAGCGCCTCTGCCCTGCCGCCCCGTCTGGGATGTGAGGAGCACCTCTGCCCGGCCGCGACCCGGTCTGGGAGGTGAGGAGCATTTCTGCCCGGCCGCCCCGTCTGAGAAGTGAGGAGACCCTCTGCCCGGCAACCGCCCCGTCTGAGAAGTGAGGAGCCCCTCCGCCCGGCAGCCGCCCCGTCTGAGAAGTGAGGAGCCTCTCTGCCCGGCAGCCACCCCGTCTGGGAAGTGAGGAGCGTCTCCGCCCGGCAGCCACCCCGTCCGGGAGGGAGGTGGGGGGGTCAGCCCCATGCCCGGCCAGCCGCCCCGTCCGGGAGGTGAGGGGCGCCTCTGCCCAGCCGCCCCTACTGGGAAGTGAGGAGCCCCTCTGCCAGGCCAGCCGCCCCGTCCGGGAGGGAGGTGGGGGGGGGGGTCAGCCCCCAACCCGGCCAGCCGCCCCATCCGGGAGGTGAGGGGCGCCTCTGCCCAGCCACCCCTACTGGGAAGTGAGGAGCCCCTCTGCCAGGCCAGCCGCCCCGTCCGGGAGGGAGGTGGGGGGGTCAGCCCCCCGCCCGGCCAGCCGCCCCGCCCGGGAGGTGAGGGGCGCCTCTGCCCGGCCGCCCCTACTGGGAAGTGAGGAGCCCCTCTGCCCGGCCACCACCCTGTCTGGGAGGTGTACCCAACAGCTCATTGAGAACGGGCCATGATGACAATGGCGGCTTTGTGGAATAGAAAGTGGGGAAAGGTGGGGAAAAGATTGAGAAATCGGATGGTTGCCGTGTCTGTGTAGAGAGAAGTAGACATGGGAGACTTTTCATTTTGTTCTGTACTAAGAAAACTTCTTCTGCCTTGGGATCCTGTTGATCTGTGACCTTACCCCCAACCCTGTGCTCTCTGAAACATGTGCTGTGTCCACTCAGGGTTAAATGGATTAAGGGCGGTGCAAGATGTGCTTTGTTAAACAGATGCT
This sequence comes from Homo sapiens, assembly GCF_000001405.40. Taxonomy (NCBI): domain Eukaryota; kingdom Metazoa; phylum Chordata; class Mammalia; order Primates; family Hominidae; genus Homo; species Homo sapiens. The sequence goes on from NW_017363817.1 coordinate 159,022, forward strand.
TGAAGGCAGCATGCTCGTTAAGAGTCATCACCACTCCCTAATCTCAAGTACCCAGGGACACAAACACTGCGGAAGGCCTCAGGGTCCTCTGCCTAGGAAAACCAGAGACCTTTGTTCACTTGTTTATCTGCTGACCTTCCCTCCACTATTGTCCTATGACCCTGCCAAATCCCCCTCTGTGAGAAACACCCAAGAATTATCAATAAAAAATAAATAAATTAAAAAAAAAAACAAAAACAAAATGACTTGCGATAAAACTGCTCTGATCGCAGGGATCTAGGTCTCTGGCCTCCTCCTAACTTCCACAGTGACATCTGATGGGGCACCAAGGAATACAGTTTGAAAACCATTAGCTCTCACTAAAGACAAGCTAGGGAAGTCTAAAGAGAGAATAACCTACTGAAGGTCACATGGTCAGTCGGTTAATGGCCGACAAGAGTCCAGCATTTTCCCAGCACCTGACTCTGCTTTACCCCATGTACTGGTCAGATGTCAGTGTTCTGTGTTCTTAGAATGAGCAGGTCTTGGTCCTTACAACAGTAACTTCAAGCTTTCATAGGAGGAAAAAGTTCCAAGAAAAAGGAAAATTACATTTTACCTGGCAAAACTGATTTTGTAGGTAATGGGGCCTATCTTAATCCAATTTAATAACATCCAGAGATGACTAGCGAAAAGAATAACTTTTCCTGGCAACACTGCAAGCATCTGAGTGTTTAACTGCACAATTTCGGACATGACCATGGCAGCTACTAGCATTCGTGAGACATCAGGGCTCTGCAAATGGCTCTCCTGCGCAAAGCATGCTCACAGGGCAGAGGTGGCCCTGTGTGGGTGGAGGACATGCCAGAAGCATGGGCTCTACACCCAGAGCCTTCTTTCCACCCTAGTCCCTGCTCCCAAAATGCAATTGAGAACTGCATTTAATTAGTTACAAGAAACTGTTTGTTTTCTTCCATGCCAGTCAATACTATGACGGCTTTAAATCAACTGCATCTAATCCTATAAATACATCTCCGGGATGGAGCCTCCTCAAGATGTCCCATCAGTTTTGTTCATTTACTTCTATTCCTGAGATTCAGTTCTATGTCCTCTACTCTTCAATGAGACATGAGTCCATCAACAAAATAGCACTGGGAAAGGAATTCTAGTTTCTGACATTGAGACCTGGCTTCCAGTTTAAGCTCCTCCACTTCCAAGCTGTGCAACCCTGGGCCAACCACTTAACCTCTCTGAGCTGCAGTTTCATCACCTATAAAGCAAGAGGCAGGAATTGTGACGATAACATAAAGCATGTAAAAGAATTTAAAAGTGCAAAGGACTATAAAAGTGTGAGTATCCATTCTATTACAATCATTTAATCAAGGGACCAGACACATTTGATTGCATCATTTCAGAACTGCTCCTGGAAGCTCTGCTCTCTTGGCTCCTGCCCTTGTGGTGCTGGGAAAGAATGAATGCAGGGCTAGCTGCAAAGTACATGGTTACAGGTTTCTCAGAGCTGGTCCTCCCAGCCAGCCTCCCTTTTGGTGGTGTCTGGAGCAAAACAATACCGTAAAATAATCCTCCAGCAGCCAAGTGTAGACAATTAAAAACAGGGATCACTAATCTAGAAGGGAAACGTTCTGATTTATTGCTCTAACCTCCCTTGTCATAACATGGCAGTTAACCAAAAACACCATTCTGTAGGATGAAGGGAGAGGAAATTTAGACTTGGACAGAAAAATCCAAAGGAAATTAAAGTGTTAGTGTGCTCTGAAAAGTAACTCTTCAAATATGCCACTGGCCACCTTGACATTTCCAGGCCTCCCCAATGGCTTCCAGACCTAAAGTGATCAGCTTACACTGCATGGAGGCCTCTCCTAGCCGAGGGTGCTGCTGGCTTCCCGGGGATTGTTCAGCCTCTCTCATCATCACTGTACCAGATGACAGTCAAACCAAAAACTCAGCTGACAAGCTCAGGAGATGCTGAATGAGGCAGAGCAGAACTCTCCTGGCCCCACCACAGTGGCTAATGAAGCTTGTGTGTGTCCTGGAGGCGGGGCTCTTCAGGAGCAGAGATGTGGGCAGGGAAGTCTGCCCTTTCATGGAGTTTTCTACATGCACTTTCAGATAAAGGCCTTCTGTAAAGACCACAACAGCTGTCATCTCTGAACGTGGCCAAGAGCCAAAGGATCGTATCTGGAGCAAGCAGACCGATTTTCAGAAACGCACATTGGGTAGGTTACCCGTGGTGACGCAAACCAGACTTACTTGATCTAAATCTCCTTTCTCCGTTGCCAGTTCCTCCATCTCTGGTGTTGGCTCATCTTCCAGGAAGGGATTGGTAGATGGGGGTGGAGACTCAAGCTTTTTCTGTTAGGTAGATATGAGAAAGAGAAGTGTTTTCTGAGCATATTCAATAGCTTTCCCCATTGATCTGCTTTTTCTAGGTGTCTCCAACAAGGAAGTCATGCACGCTATCTGATAAAGAAGAACTGAGGCAACCCAGACCACATTCTTGCCTCCGGGCCTTCACAGTGCTTTCCCTCTTCCTGCAACCTCCCCGACCACCCCGCCCCAACTCGAATCTGGCTAAAACGCTCACGCATCCTCAGTCCTCAAACCGGAACTCCGTTCTGCTGGGAAGCCTTTCCCATCTGTCAGGTTTGGGTCAGATGTCCCTGACACGTGTTCCCAAACCAAGCTACATGTCTCCTACCCAGGCATTTATTAAAATATAGCAATTGCCCATTATTTGTCTTTTCCCTTCTGGCCTCCATGATGGCAGAGATTGTGTCTGTCTTGTTCCCCATCCTATCTCAGTGCCTAGCATGTAGCAGGTCCTCAGTAAATAGAAATGAATCAAAGTGCCAGATGGATTTCAACGCAAGAACAAACTACAAAACTAATCTCATGTGTTCTAGATTAACAGATGTCTCTTCCCAAGTAAGCCCCATTACAACAACCACAACAGAAATCTCCTTGAGAAAATCGACTTCTCAGCTTCCAAATATGACCACTATTTCAAAATACATCACGGAGTGGAAACATGGGCCAGTGGGAAGGCTGCAGGCAGGAGGCATGGTAGCTGTAGCTCCAACCGTGCGGCACTGGCCCTATCACCCAGCTTCTCTGAGCCTCAGTAACTTCATCTGCTGAATGAGGATGTAGTCACAGGACTATCTGGAGGATCAAATGTGAAACCCTAGAAGCAGCACATGATACACACAAGGGTCACTGATGACGTTAATTCCAGTACAACTACAGAATCAAGGCAGCTCTCTGGAATTCCTTTACAGTTTTCACCTAGAGATGTTGTTTATGCCTGGGAGCTGAAGGCTTTAGCAGAAAGGAGGCCAACTGGACAAACAGAAAAGAGGGACTGCTTGGTGCTGGGGACGAGGGAAGGGGGCAAGGCATGGCTCTCTGGAGACGAGAAGTTAATGGAGAGGGAGTTTCTAAATGTACTTGGTATTTTAGCCAATACCAGTGGGTCAATCTGAATTAATCTCTAAGCCAAAAGGGACAGCAGATGGACTATAGCGTGAATAACTTTGCCAAGTGCCAGGACACCATCTGAAGCTATTACAAACAAAAATAAAACCAAAACTTACACAAAGGCCGGGTGCAGTGGCTCACACCTGGAATCCCAGCACTTTGGGAGGCTGAGGCGGCGGATCACTTGAGGTCAGGAGTTCAAGACCAGCCTGAACAACATGGTGAAAGCCTGTCTCTACTAAAAATACCAAAATTAGCAGCGTGGTGGTAGGCGCCTGTAATCCCAGCTACTTGGGAGGCTGAGGCACAAGAATTGCTTGAATCCAGGAAGTGGAGGTTGCAGTGAGCCAAGATGGCACCACTGCACTCCAGCCTGGGTGACAAAGCGAGACTCCGTCTCAAAAATAAAATACAATAAAATAAATACATTGCACAAAAGCACTACACCTGCGTCTGGTTTTTGGTTTAAGACAATACTGCTAACAGTCATTTAATAACTGCTTATTTTTTGGCCAAAACACTTGGATGCAAGTGATGTGGACAGATACAGCCTCGGTGCATGACAAAGCCTTGTGGTGATGGCATTAGCTCGAGGTAATCAGTAGTAAGATGATGGTTTTTGTGGTATCCTGGTGATAAACAATATGGTCTAACACCCAAGCAAGTATTTCACATTTGCACACTCCAAACTTTGGCTTCTTTACCTAACATGAGAGAAAAAAAATCCTTAAAAATGTACAGCTCTTGTTAGAAAGCAGTATTTCTAAGCTTGAGTTGTCTTCTTAAGGGCTGCTGATATTTTAGAGAGAGAGGAATAGTAATAAAGGGAATCTACCAAGCTTAATCTTCAACAACCATAAAAAAATTAAATTAGGTAATAGCATTAGACTCCTGATTCCACTGGCTTAACAGTGGGCTCTGGGATTATGCTGTTGAGCTGAGTCACTATGATTCTAAGTCTTTTGGTCCTTTGTAGATATGAAAAGCAAGTCAGCTAACTGAAGTTAAAAGCTTTGATCAAAATCATTCAGTGACAGACACAGAATTTGAGTTTTTGAACTAAATGCCCCTCATCTATTGCTAAGTCTATTGGGTTGATAACAGCACCTCACAATTACATAAAGATGGGCCTCGTTTTTAAAACATAATGTGTTATTGGAAATCATGGCAAACAGCAGATGTCAGTGACGTGGACTGAGAACGTTCCCGGGCTCTGCTCTCGCTGGCATAAAGCATCAAGAAAACGCAGAGGGTAGGAAGAAGTCAAACCTACTCTCACTGGCGTAAAGCATCAAGAAAACGCAGAGGGTAGGAAGAAGTCGAGCCTACTCTCGCTGGCGTAAAGCATCAAGAAAACGCAGAGGGTAGGAAGAAGTTGAACCTACTCTCGCCGGTGTAAAGCATCAAGAAAACGGAGAGGGGAGGAAGAAGTCGAACCTAACGGGCAGCCCTGAAGAAGCAGGCACCATCTGAGGCAGGTGAGCACAGGCCACTCGCTCAGTGTCACCATCTGGGATAGAGTGAGCATGGGCCAACCTCAGCCTCCTGAGTAGCTGGGACTACAGGTGCACATCACCACACCCAAGTAATTTTTGTATTTTTTGTAGAGATGGGATTTTGCCATGTTGCCTGGGCTGGTCTGAAACTCCTGACCTGAAGCAATCCATCTGTCTCAGCCTCCCAAAGTGCTAGAATTACAGGCGTGAGCCACCATGCCCGTCCTCTATTAACATGAGGGGAGTTGTGGACATCAAGGAGCTCCTAGCTCACTCATTTGTGGCACATGCATTCCACATGTGGACCAAGTTAGTACAGGAAAAGTGATTCATTCCTTCCCTCATCCACTCAACAAAGGGATATGCTTGGCCCTAGGAGTAGAGCAGTGAGAAAGACAGGCCAGCCTCCGCCCTCATGGAGATTAGAGTCTGCTGGGGGAGACAGCCTTCAATCCAACAGTCACACAAACAGTGAGAAGGGCCAGGAAGGAAAAGCAGTCGTCATGGAAACGTGCAACAGAGGGCCGCAGCCGTCCCTAAAGAAAAGATGTCTGAGCCAGAGCTGAAGGATGCCTCAGAGTGAAATATATGAGGGGTGGAGGGCGGAGGGAACAGCACGTGTCTGCCGCTCACTCAACAATGATGTACTGGGCATCCACTCTGCTCCAGGCACTCTTGGGTGCACCAGGGATGCAAGTGAGGAAGATGGATTAGAGAGGCGGCACTGTAGTGGTGAGAAGAAAACTCAGGGAGTGGGATGAGCTGGGGATGAGGGTGGGAAAGTGCTTCTACACACAGGGTCATCAGAAAAGGTCTCTGAGGAGATGACGGCTGAGCTGAGTAAGAAGGAACTGCTCAGGCAAAACCCAAGGAAGGGTGTTCTCAGCAGGGAGACCCGGTGGAGACGCTGGAAAGCATATGGTGAGTCTGAGGGACAGAAAGGAAGATGGGGGCCTGGGGTAAGAGGGGTGGCGGGAGTCCCATCATATTGGTGAATCAGGGATGGAAAGGAAGATGGGGGCCTGGGGTAAGAGGGGTGGCGGGAGTCCCATCATATTGGTGAGTCAGGGACGGAAACAAAGATGGGGGCCTGGGGTAAGAGGGGTGGCGAGAGTCCCATCATATTGGTGAGTCAGGGACAGAAAGGAAGATGGGGGCCTGGGGTAAGAGGGGTGGCGGGAGTCCCATCATATTGGTGAGTCAGGGACGGAAACGAAGATGGGGGCCTGGGGTAAGAGGGGTGGCAAGAGTCGCATCATATTGGTGAGTCAGGGACAGAAAGGAAGATGGGGGCCTGGGGTAAGAGGGGTGGCGGGAGCCCCATCACGCAGCCTTTTGTGGGCCATGGTAAGGGTCGGTTTTCTTCTCACTGCAATTGGGCAGTCGCTGGTAGTTTTCAACAGCGAAGTGATGTGATCTAATTTGGATTTTAAAAATATTCCACTGCTGTAGGGGAATGGATTATAATGACAGCAGGCAAACCAGTTTAAGAGGCTGCTACAGTGCTCCAGGAAAGGGCTGATGGGAACCGGACTAAGCCAGTGTTCCAGGAAAGGGCTGATGGGGAACTGGACTAAGCTGGTGATGGACGATAGAAAAAAGTGTCCATCGGATTTGGGGCACAGTTAGGAGGCAGAGCCAGGAGGCTTTGCTGAGAGAGTGAGAACGAGGGTGAGGGAATGAAAGGAGTGAAGGGACAGTCACTTTCTGGTCTGAGCAACTGCACGGCTGATGTTGCCCTTAACTGAGATGGGGCACCCTCGTGTAGTGGCAAGGGCACAGGCTCCGTATCTGACAGACCCGGGTTCGAGTCCAGGTTCCACCATGGGGTATGCTGTTTAACTTCTAGCCTCAGTTCTCCTACCTGCAATGTGAAGGGATAGGAATACCTACCTCGTATGGCTGCCATGAGGATGGGATGAGGCATGCGTGTCAGGCGTGAGCTACACAGTTACGTGCTGCCATGAGGATGGGATGATGCGTGCGTGTCAGGCGTGAGCTACACAGTCATGCACCACATCACCATGTTTCCATCCATGACGGGCCACGGTACAAGGCGGTTCCACTAGATTATAATGGAGCCATACAATAGAGTAGGCCAGGGGTCCCCAACCCCTGGGCCACAGTCCATGGCCTGTTAGCAACCAGGCTGCATATCACGAGGTGAGCAGCAGTGAGTGAGCATGACTGCCTGGGCTCCGCCTCCTGTCAGGTCTCATAGGCAAACCCTGTTGTGAGCTGCTCATATGAGAGGTCTAGGTTGCACACTCCTTCTGAGAATCCAATGCCTGATGATCTGAGGTAGAACAGTTTCATCTCGAAACCATCCCCTACCCCCATCCCCTGCACTCCCACCCCCACCCCCACCTCTGGAAAAACTGTCTTCCACAAAACCAGTCCCTGGTGCCAAAAAGGTTGGGGACAGCTGGAGTAGGTTCTAGCAGGCACACTCTATGAGGTTTGCACAGTGATGAAACTAATGATGCATTTCTCAGAACATATTCCTGCTGTTAAGCAATGCATGACTGAATATATACAGCAGCTTAACATGCTGTCTGGCACAGAGGGCAAGGCTCAGCAAGGGGAAGCTTTGAGCAGTAATTAATAGGGTGAGCTACGAAACAAGGCAAAACTGTTGTGCTTCTCTTAATAAAGCAGCTCACAGAAAACGTGGGCATGCAGGCTTAAAAGTCTTGTCAAAAGAATTTCTATTAACCATAAGTGGAGCCTCGTCCCAACTACTTTGTCTCTTTGGGATCTCTCTAAGAAATAAAAGCAAAGGGCCCATCAACTTTGCACTTTCTAAGTGGAAAGGCACACGGAGCTGCTCCTTTCTTCCCCAGTCTACAACAACGCACATACCACCCTCCTCCCTGTTGATAAAAGTCCTAAAACCCTAAGGTGTGGATATGCATTCCCGCTAGTTAGAGGGCTACATTACTGCTCAGACTGACTTGCTAAGATGAAAGAACAAGTCCTTGTGGGGAGCGATCACTGGCATAACGCAGCCTTCTGTGCTAAGAGCCACACAGATCACGCTTCTCAGGCTTGCTTTGCAGCTGTCACAGGCCACAGAGAATTACAACTTTGGGGTTAGATTGTCAGTAACTCAAAGGACATATTTCATGAACTCTGAGGCTGCTAAATAAAGCCAAAAATTTCCAAGAAGTGAATGACTTCCAATTTTGAAAGAATTCATTCTTTTTGCTATGATGACAGTTGATTTCAAGCCGATATAGGAAAGCAAAATTCTTCATATAGCAAGTTAATCCCTACTGATTAAATCACAGGGGATTCCCAGCACCTTCAAAACAGTTCAGACCACAGGACAGTCAGGCTGTCTAATTCACTGTCAAGAAGGGAAAGTCTGGCTTCAGTCAGCAGTACATCCGTATCTCGTCTGCCTACACAAATCCCTGTGTGAGGCCCTAGCTGGACACATCGAATTATCAAAGAAGGAACTCTGAAATTTAAGACTCTTCCTTTCCCTAGAGGGGAAAGCTTTCGCTTGTGAGATGAAAGTTCCTCAGTTTCTGCATTTCTCACTCCATAAATGCTTTACTCCAGCCCAATTCCTAATTGGTCCTTAAAGAGATGGCTGCGGGGCTTTAGCTGACAGTCAGGACTGCAAGCCCAGGGGTTCACACACTTGGTGTCCACCATTTCTGGGGCTACTCTCTTGCTACCGCCATGTCCACTTCTTCTATTGCAACAGTTATGTACAGACTTCTTTCTCCTACTAGACCCTAAGTGCCTTCCCGATCCAATTTCTCATCTTTTCCAAAGCCCTGAACAAAGAGGGAAGCTTGAAAAATATAAGTGGGTAAATGCTGATCAGATGAAAGGCCCTCAATAAAATCCTCTTCAGAAACATGGGCAACACTTTCTATTTTCTGTAAACAAAACAAAAAGCCTGCGTATATGTGTGCAAGCGTGCTTGCAGAAGCGTCAAAAATATACCCCAAAGAATTAAACAGTGTGGATACCTCCAGGGGGAGGGATATACAGTAGTTAAGAAGAGATGTTTATTTAAAATTTTTTTTTCTATTTGAGTTTTTAATAGGCATATATAGCTATTTCTGCTTTTTTCTTTTCTTTTCTTTTCTTTTTTTTTTTGAAACAGAGCCTCACTCTTCCACCCAGGATGAAGTGCAGTGGTGCAATCACAGCTCACTGCAGTCTTGAACTCCTGGACTTAGGTGACCCTTGCACCTCAGCCTCCTGAGTAGCTAAGAATGCAAGTGCACACTACCACGCCCTGCTCATTTTAAAATTTTTTTTTAGAGACAGGGTCTTCGTGGCCCAGGCTGGTCTCAAACTCCTGGCTGTAAGAGACCTGCCCACCTCGGCCTCCCAAAGCGCTGGGATTTTAGGCATGAGCCATTATGCCCGGCCCACTGCTCATTTTTTTTTTTGACAGAATATTTATCTGAAGAGTAAAGATGATTTATAACTAAACTCATACACTATCTTCTAAAGCCTTTAATTCTAAATTGTGATGTAATTCATGTCACATAAAACTCAACATTTTAAAGTGATTTACTATTCAGTGGTTTTCGGACATTCACAAGGTTGTGCAGCCATCACCACCAATTCCAGAACATTTTTCACCCCCAAAAGCAACCCCTACCTGTTACTGGGAAGCTGTTACTTCCCAGTCTTCCCCTTCCCAACCCCATCGGCCTCTATGGATTTGCCTCTTTTGGGTATTTCCTATAGATGGAATCATATAATGTGTGACATCTGTGTCTGGCTTCTTTCACTCGGCATGGTGTGTCCAAGGTTCACCCAGGTCAGGGCACGTATCAGCACTTCATTCCTTTTACGTGAATAATATTCCACTGTACGGACAGACCACGTTTTGGTTATTCCTTGTCTACTGATGTTTCTACTTTTTGGCTATTGTGAATAGTGTTGCTATGAACATTTGTGTAAGACATACGAACATATGTTTTTAATTCCCTTGGGCATATACTTAGAAGTAGAAATGTGTAATTAAAAAAAAAGAATTCAGATTGCTTTGCTTTTTCTATTTGGCAGAGTTACCCCTTCACATTAGGCATGGCACATTAACACTGTGAGATGCACTGAAACAAGCAGGGACTACTTTTAAATCTTAACTGCATTTGGAAGAACAGAAAGGAAGAGGAACAGAAAGATGTTTAAAGCAGAGGCTGAAATTGAAAGTGCTCACAACTTGAGCCGATAATTCCACTAGTGTCGTAAGAAAATCATCTCACTGCTTTGGGTAAGAGACAGCGAAGAGGAGAGAAGAGAGAAGAGAAGAGAGGAAAAAAACAATCTCAAATGCATATAAAATTAGTAGACAAGGCCGGGTGCGGTGGCTCACGCCTGTAATCCCAGCACTTTGGGAGGCCGAGGTGGGCGGATCACGAGGTCAGGAGATCGAGACCCTCCTGGCTAACATGGTGAAACCGTCTCTACTAAAAATATAAAAAAAAAAATTAGCCAGGCGTGGTGGCGGGCGCCTGTAGTCCCAGCTACGCGGAGGCTGAGGCAGGAGAATGGCGTGAACCCAGGAGGCAGAGCTTGCAGTGAGCCGAGATCGCGCCACTGCACTCGAGCCTGGGCGACAGAGTGAGACTCCGTCACACACACACACACACACACACACACACACACACACACACACACACACACAAATTAGTAGACAAAAATATTCATATAGCCCTATTTATAAAAGTGAGAAAAAACTAAGGGTCCTACGAGAAAAGAATAATTAGGGGAATCACTGAGTATCTATAGAATAAAATCTTTCTGTAGTAGTTGAGAAACAACTTAAGCTGTGACATATGAAGCATATTTTCATATGTGTGTGTGAGTTAATATGGAAATTAACTCAAAATGGATCAAAGATATAAATGTAGCAGCTGAAACTATAAAACTCTTAGGAGGAAACCTAGGTAAGTCTCTGTAGCCTTGGATTACGTAACAGTTTCTTGGATATGACACTAAACACAAGCAAGAACAAAAAACCTTCATTAAAACGGAAATCCTGTGAAATGACTATCAAGAGAGTGAAAACCCACAGATGGGAGAAAACATTGGCAAATCATATGTCTGATACATGATAAAATATCTAAAGAAGTTATAAAGCCTGGGCATGGTGGCTCACGCCTATAATCCCAGCACTATGAGAGGTCGAGGCGGGTGGATCACTTGAGGCCAGGAGTTCAAGACCAGCCTGGCCAACACGGCAAAACCCCGCCTCTACTAAAAAAAAAAAAAAAAAATACAAAAAATACAAAAATTAGCCTGGCATGGTGCTGCGCTCCTGTGGTCCCAGCTACCCAGGAGACTGAGGTCCGAGAATTGCTTGAACCCAGGAGGCAGAGGTTGCAGTGAGCCGAGATCTCACCACTGAACTCCAGCCTGGGCAACAGAGTGAGACTCTGTCTCAAGAAAAAAAAAAAAAAGTTATAGAATATATCTAGAATGTGTAAACAACTCTTACAACTCAACAATAAAAACAATCCAACTAAAAAATGGGCAAAAAATGTGAATAGACATTTCCTTTTTTTTGAGACATGAGTGGCGCAATCTCAGCTCACTGAAACCTCCACCTCCTGGGTTCAAGCGATTCTCCTGCCTCAGCCTCCCGAGTAGCTGGGATTATAGGCACCCGCCACCACGCCTGGCTAAGTTTTGTATTTTTAGTACAGACGGGGTTTCACCATGTTGGCCAGGCTGGTCTTGAACTCCTGACCTGAGGTGATGCTCCCACCTCGGCCTCCCACAGTGCTGGGATTACAGGCGTGAGCCACCACACCCAGCTGAATAGACATTTCTTTAAAGAAGCTGTGCAATGTCACTAGTCAATGGGAAAAAGCAAATGAAAACCACAAGGAGATACTACTCTACACCCATGAGAATGGCTATAATTAGGGGAACAAAGGAGACACGCGTCAGCAAGGATATGGGGAAACTGGACCCTCCTACATTGTGGGTAGAAATGTAAAACCGTGTGGCTGCTTCGAAAACAGTTTGCAGTTCCTCAAAAAGTTAAGCCTAGGGTTACCATGTGACCCAGCAATTCCACTCAGGTATATTCTCACAAGAATAGGAAACACGCTGACACGAAAACCTGTACAAATATTCACAGCAGTATTCATACAGTGAAAACCTGTACCGATATTCACAGCAGTATTCACATAGTGAGTTCACACAGTGAAAACCTGTACAAATATTCACATAGTGAGTTCACATAGTGAAAACCTGTACAAATATTCACATAGTGAGTTCACACAGTGAAAACCTGCACAGATATTCACAGCAGTATTCAAATAGTGAATTCACACAGTGAAAACCTGTACAAATATTCACATAGTGAGTTCATACAGTGAAAACCTGTACTGATATTCACAGCAGTATTCACATAGTGAGTTCACACAGTGAAAACCTGTACAGATATTCACATAGTTCACACAGTGAAAACCTGTACAGATATTCACAGCAGTATTCAAATAGTGAATTCACACAGTGAAAACCTGTACAAATATTCACAGTGAGTTCACACAGTGAAAACCTGTAAAAATATTCACATAGTGAGTTCACACAGTGAAAACCTGTACAGATACTCACAGCAGTATTCAAATAGTGAATTCACACAGTGAAAACCTGTACAAATATTCATAGTGAGTTCACACAGTGAAAACCTGTACAGATATTCACAGCAGTATTCAAATAGTGAATTCACACAGTGAAAACCTGTACAAATATTCACATAGTGAGTTCACACAGTGAAAACCTGTACAGATATTCACAGCAGTATTCAAATAGTGAATTCACACAGTGAAAACCTGTACAAATATTCACATAGTGAGTTCACACAGTGAAAACCTGTACAGATATTCACAGCAGTATTCAAATAGTGAATTCACACAGTGAAAACCTGTACAAATATTCACATAGTTCACACAGCGAAAACCTGTACAGATATTCACAGCAGTATTCAAATAGTGAATTCACACAGTGAAAACCTGTACAAATATTCACATAGTGAGTTCACACAGTGAAAACCTGTACAGATACTCACAGCAGTAATCAAATAGTGAATTCACACAGTGAAAACCTGTACAAATATTCATATAGTGAGTTCACACAGCGAAAACCTGTACAGATATTCACAGCAGTATTCAAATAGTGAATTCACACAGTGAAAACCTGTACAAATATTCACATAGTTCACACAGCGAAAACCTGTACAGATATTCACAGCAGTATTCAAATAGTGAATTCACACAGTGAAAACCTGTACAAATATTCACATAGTGAGTTCACACAGTGAAAACCTGTACAGATACTCACAGCAGTATTCAAATAGTGAATTCACACAGTGAAAACCTGTACAAATATTCACATAGTTCACACAGTGAAAACCTGCACAGATATTCACAGCAGTATTCAAATAGTGAATTCACACAGTGAAAACCTGTACAAATATTCACATAGTGAGTTCACACAGTGAAAACCTGTACAGATATTCACAGCAGTATTCAAATAGTGAATTCACACAGTGAAAACCTGTACAAATATTCACATAGTGAGTTCACACAGTGAAAACCTGTACAGATATTCACAGCAGTATTCACACAGTGAAAACCTGTACAGATATTCACAGCAGTATTCAAATAGTGAATTCACACAGTGAAAACCTGTACAAATATTCACATAGTGAGTTCACACAGTGAAAACCTGCACAGATATTCACAGCAGTATTCACACAGTGAAAACCTGTACAGATATTCACAGCAGTATTCAAATAGTGAATTCACACAGTGAAAACCTGTACAAATATTCACATAGTGAGTTCACACAGTGAAAACCTGCACAGATATTCACAGCAGTAATCAAATAGTGAATTCACACAGTGAAAACCTGCACAGATATTCACAGCAGTATTCAAATAGTGAATTCACACAGTGAAAACCTGTACAAATATTCACATAGTGAGTTCACACAGTGAAAACCTGTACAAATATTCACATAGTGAGTTCACACAGTGAAAACCTGTACAGATATTCACAGCAGTATTCAAATAGTGAATTCACACAGTGAAAACCTGTACAAATATTCACATAGTGAGTTCACACAGTGAAAACCTGTACAGATATTCACAGCAGTATTCAAATAGTGAATTCACACAGTGAAAACCTGTACAAATATTCACATAGTGAGTTCACACAGTGAAAACCTGTACAGATATTCATAGCAGTATTCAAATAGTGAATTCACACAGTGAAAACCTGTACAAATATTCACAGTGAGTTCACACAGTGAAAACCTGTACAGATACTCACAGCAGTATTCACACAGTGAAAAAGTGGAAACCACCCGAATGTCCACAGCTGATGGAAGAGACAACAATATGTGCATCACCCACACAACGGTGCACTATTCAGCCATCAAAATGATGCACTGACACACACCTCATCATGGGTAAGGCTCGCAGACACTGTCCAGAGGGAGGGAAGGCAGACACAAAAACCACACATCGTAGCATCCGTTTATGTGAAGTGTCCACAACAGGCATCCGTAAAGACAAAAGTCAATTCGTAACTGCCCAGGACTGGGGAAAGAGAACTTGAAAGTCCTGCCTGCTAAGGAGGGATTTCTTCTGGGGTAACAGAAATGTCCTGGAGTTGCACAGCTGGGATCGTGGCATCATCTTATGAATATATGAAAACCAACTGAACTGTATACTTTAAACGATAAATTTCATGTGACATTTCGTGACATGAGTTATATCTCAATTTTAAAAACTAGGCAGAGAAAACTGTATTTAAAAAAATACAATTTCAACCATGTAAAATATATAGAAAGAATATACCCAAATCCTCATCTCTGATTTGGATGACTTTTTTCCTGCTTCTCTATTCTCGCCATAATTTCCAAATTTTCTATCCTGACCCTGTATTATTCTCTTCTCAGAAACAGAAGTTAATCGTCCCTTGCAATATTATTCAAATGGAAGAATACATTTCTTTAGCACCAGTAAAGCATCCATAAAATATTTTCCAACGCTGAAGGGAGTGCATGAGGCGGGGGAATCTGTCACTGTCGGAGACAGATGTCCTCAAGCTGTGGCAGAGCTGGAAAACCTGCCCCTGTTCCTTACACAGTCTCCCTCATGCAGGTGCCGGAAGACCAGGGTGTAGAGTGAGACATGCTGGGTGGTCTTTCATGAGTCGTGAGCCTTTTGCAAACGCTCTTACACTCAAATTCCATGGCTGACAATTGTACCCATATAGCTTCTATCTTTAGAATGTAATTCTAAAAACTGGGGAAGTAAAGGCCCCTATAAGCCAAAGGACAAGTCTGTTTCAAAAGGCAACTTATGCAGTGGTCAAGAGGAAGGGAAATCCAGCTGCATAAAAGGGGAACATTTTTAATTTTATTACTACAAAAAAAACAAAAAACAAAACAAAAACCTCCCAGTGAGGCAGTTATAAAAAGCTAATCCGATCTAGTCTGCTTTTCTGCTTTCAGCAGAAGGCTGAATGTCATTTGCTCACCTTGAATCTAATCATCAAGTCACTAATAATGCATATGGATCCAGTTACATCACATCCAGACATTCTCTTTTAATTTCAAGGCATTTTAATTTATAGACTCTCTTGAATTCCTCCTAAAGGGTCAGAAGTTGAGGCAACTGGGAAAAGCACAGGCAGCTCACCTCCTCAAGTAACAGTTACAGCACAGGACATCGTGAAACTGGTTAAGCAACAAGCCTGTCCCTGAGGCTCTTTCAGTCTAAAGTTCTATCAAATGTTGAAGTCACAGCTCTTGAAAAAGAGCCAAGGATGATGCATCCCACTGAAGTCAGGAGTGATGGGTCAGGAGGAGCTGAGCTGTGGCAGGTCTTGTCTTCCGGGCGAGCTGGCCACACTCTCAAGCTCATCCTCACTGTTTCACTGCCAGTCACCAAGGACTGGAGAGGTTTGGAATGATACAGTGAAGGCGGCAGTGGGGGTAGGGTGGGGATGACGTACAGCCTAGGGAGGGGCAGCAAGGGAGAGTCTCTGGCCGTTTTGGCTCCTTGGCTGACATCTTACCTGTTTTGTGGCACCTTTCTGAGGAATTCAGTAACTTTCTATAAAATCTGGCATATATCAAAGGGTATCAAGATATACCTTGGTTCGTTTCACAATTTATTCTGGTATTTTGAAACAAAATGGTAGCCAAAAAGGAGTTTCCAAAGAGTGTATCCTGAAAGGAAGGTAGCATGGGGAAGGGGTCAGGGGCCAGGGAGCAGCATATCTCCAGGCAGGGTACCCAGCAGCTAGACTGGGGGTCAGGACAGCTGGAACTCCTGGCCTTGCCCAGGCAGCCCCTTCCCGGTGCTTTGCGTTGGGAGCATGGTCGGTAGCCATGATGAATTCACCAAGGTCCCTGCCACTGAGGGTCGCAGAATAAAGGTGAAGAAGGTCGTGCACGGCCCACAATGAGATGATGGTGGGGACCAGGCTCAGTGTGAACATCAGCTAGAGTGACAGCCTTCACGTCTCCTCACAGCAGAGCTGCAGTGAACCGATTCCTCAAGGCCCGTCCCACCTGGGTAAAGTGGCCATAGGGCTTCTGTTGCCTTCCTAGAAACTTATCTTTAAGGGAAAACCCTTGAAGGATATCAGACAGCCATTTTCAGGATTTGGAATGCAGAATAACTGCCAGGTCGTGATACCTGGCACAAAGAATAGGGTAGGAGGACGAAGTTGAATTAAAGAAGCTGAAGGATTTAGAGAAGTCTGTGGAGAGGAGAGCTGACTAAATAGAGAGGGAAAGAAAGAACTCATGGTGTTCATCAGGCTTTTCTGGCTAAGGATTTAGAACCTGAAACTCTGCAAACTTGAGAGGAGAGGAGAGCAACAACTGAACAATGAAGAGGGGATGATTTAAAGACCAGTTCTGCCAAAACATTTCAAATATGAAAACCAAAAAGGAAGGAGCTGGGGAAAAAGGCTCAAGTGTTCCTAGCTGACCCCTGACCACCACCACAGAGCACCACCTCGGCCAGGAGACACTGGGCTCCAGGCCAGGAGCTTGGCCCTGGCCGAGTGAGTTCAGGCAGAAAGGGGCTGTGCTGCCCTGAGAAACCAGTACCCCCAGCCCAGTCCTCCCGGGACAGAAGGTGTCTGACAGTTGGCCAACTGCCATTCTGACAGTCCTGTACCTGTGTTTTACAATAAAGCATTGTCTTTGCAAACTTGAGTAAGCTCCTGTCAGTTTTTCATGGTCTCTACGTGGTTACCCTGTTCAGCTGCCTCAGCTTGTCCAGAAGGGCCTTCCCTGCCCTCGTTCCCTTACCACTTTTGGCCTTTGGGGGATTTTTCCTTGGAGAGGTCCTGGGACAGACCCAGGTTCACAGGCTACCCTGGTCCTCAGATGCAACAGGGCCATTTGTTCCTCTGTGGTCCTATAGCTCCCTAAATGTAAAAGACAAATCACCAGGAAGTAGGGCCCAGCCAGAGAGGGTGAAGAATGGCTCAAAACAAGTGCTTGGCAAGAATGTCATTCAAGCATCCTTCACTGGGACCTATTTCCCGTCCGGTTATCTGGATTACCAGCTCACAGAGCCTGTCCTGATGCTCTCCGGACCCTGCCCAGCCAGAGGCCGTGGGAGCTCAGGGGGCTACTCCCAGGGTGGGGCCTGTGCTCAATGCTGAACCCTCATGCTTGTCGCCGGGCAGATCTCCGTAGGGCTGAATCCAGTGCCACATATATCTACGCTTGAAACCAGGCAGGAGCATGGCTTGGGAAGGTCCGAGAGGAGAGCCAGCAAGAGGAATCAGGGGGCTGCTAAAGCCAACCTCATACTTCTCAGGAGAAACTCAGGATTCCTTCAGTGGGATCTCTGTTCCTATTTCCTTTCCTTTTCTGTTTTTTTGAGACAGTCTCACTTTGTCACCCAGACTGGAGTGCAGTGGTGCAATCTCAGTTCATTGCAACCTCTGCCTTCTGGGCTAAAGTGATCCTCCTGTCTCAGCCTCTCAGGTAGCTGGGACTACAGGCGTGCGCCACCACGCCCCACTAATATTTCCCGGGTAGCTGGGACTACAGGCGTGCGCCATCAGGCCCCGCTATTATTTCCCAGGTAGCTGGGACTACAGGCATGCACCACCACGCCCCACTAATATTTCCCGGGTAGCTGGGACTACAGGCATGCGCCATCAGGCCCCGCTATTATTTCCCAGGTAGCTGGGACTACAGGCATGCGCCACCACGCCCCACTAATATTTCCCGGGTAGCTGGGACTACAGGCGTGCGCCACCACGCCCCACTAATATTTCCCGGGTAGCTGGGACTACAGGCGTGCGCCACCACGCCCCACTAATATTTCCCGGGTAGCTGGGACTACAGGCGTGCACCACCACGCCCCACTAATGTTTCCCGGGTAGCTGGGACTACAGGCGTGCGCCACCACGCCCCACTAATATTTCCCGGGTAGCTGGGACTACAGGCGTGCGCCACCACGCCCCACTAATATTTCCCGGGTAGCTGGGACTACAGGCGTGCGCCACCACGCCCCACTAATATTTCCCGGGTAGCTGGGACTACAGGCGTGCGCCACCACGCCCCACTAATATTTCCCGGGTAGCTGGGACTACAGGCGTGCGCCACCACGCCCCACTAATGTTTCCCGGGTAGCTGGGACTACAGGCGTGCGCCACCACGCCCCACTAATATTTCCCGGGTAGCTGGGACTACAGGCGTGCACCACCACGCCTGCTAATATTTCCCGGGTAGCTGGGACTACAGGCGTGCGCCACCACGCCCCACTAATATTTCCTGGGTAGCTGGGACTACAGGGGTGCACCACCACGCCCCACTAATATTTCCCGGGTAGCTGGGACTACAGGCGTGCACCACCACGCCCCACTAATATTTCCCGGGTAGCTGGGACGACAGGCGTGCGCCACTACGCCCCACTAATATTTCCCGGGTAGCTGGGACTACAGGCATGCGCCACCACACCCCACTAATATTTCCTGGGTAGCTGGGACTACAGGCATGCGCCATCAGGCCCCGCTATTATTTCCCAGGTAGCTGGGACTACAGGCATGCACCACCATGCCCAGCTAATATTTCCCGGGTAGCTGGGACTACAGGTGCCCACGACACCTGCTAATATTTCTTGGGTAGCTGGGACTACAGGCATGCACCACCATGCCTGTTAATATTTCCTGGGTAGCTGGGACTACAGGCGTGCACCACCATGCCCCGCTAATATTTCCCGGGTAACTGTGACTACAGGCGCCCACCAGGCCTGCTAATATTTCCTGGGTAGCAGGGACTACACGTGTGCACCACCACACCTGCTAATATTTCCCGGGTAGCTGGGACTACAGGCGCCCACCACGCCTGCTAATATTTTCTGGGTAGCTGGGACTACAGGCGCCCACCACGCCTGCTAATATTTCCTGGGTAGCTGGGACTACACGTGTGCACCACCACGCCTGCTAATATTTCCCGGGTAGCTGGGACTACAGGCGCACACCACCACGCCCCGCTAATATTTCCCGGGTAGCTGGGACTACAGGCGTGCACCACCACGCCCAGCTAATATTTCCCGGGTAGCTGGGACTACAGGTGTGCACCACCACGCCTGCTAATATTTCCCAGGTAGCTGGGACTACAGGTGCCCACGACGCCTGCTAATATTTCCCGGGTAGCTGGGACTACAGGTGCCCACGACGCCTGCTAATATTTCCTGGGTAGCTAGGACTACACGTGTGCACCACCACACCTGCTAATATTTTCCGGGTAGCTGGGACTACAGGCGCGCACCACCACGCCCCGCTAATATTTCCCGGGTAGCTGGGACTACAGGCGCGCACCACCATGCCCCGCTAATATTTCCCGGGTAGCTGGGACTACAGGCGTGCACCACCACACCCCACTAATATTTTCCGGGTAGCTGGGACTACAGGCGTGCACCACCACGCCTGCTTATATTTCCCGGATAGCTGGGACTACAGGCGTGCACCACCACACCCCGCTAATATTTCCCGGGTAGCTGGGACTACAGGCATGCACCACCACACCCCGCTAATATTTCCCGGGTAGCTGGGACTACAGGCGTGCACCACCACACCCCGCTAATATTTCCCGGGTAGCTGGGACTACAGGCGTGCACCACCACACCCCGCTAATATTTCCCGGGTAGCTGGGACTACAGGCGTGTACCACCACACCCCGCTAATATTTCCCGGGTAGCTGGGACTACAGGCGTGCACCACCACGCCCCGCTAATATTTCCCGGGTAGCTGGGACTACAGGCGTGCACCACCACGCCCCGCTAATATTTCCCGGGTAGCTGGGACTACAGGCGTGCACCACCACGCCCCGCTAATATTTCCCGGGTAGATGGGACTACAGGCGTGCGCCACCACGCCCCGCTAGTATTTCCCGGGTAGCTGGGACTACAGGCGTGCGCCACCACGCCCCGCTAGTATTTCCTTTTCTGACCTGCATTTTCTTTAAGGCTATTTTCACCTGTTTTGTGACCCATTTTTTTCCCTTGTTACTAAAAAGAAATCAATATTGAACATTAGTTAGCAAGCAGAGAAGTATACATATTTTTGATGTGCTAAGTAGGAAAAGAGTGCTTTGTGGTTTCAGCTGCATTTTATTCTAATAAAGTCGTGAGTGAGCCCAAGTAGGCAGGACCTTGTGGTCTGGCCTCAAAATTGGGCTGCTGCCACCACCGCTCTGCAGTCCATTGCCTGAAAGGCCAGCCCGATTCACCTGCTCCACCCTGTCTAAAGACCAGCCCGATTCACCCGCTTCACCTGCTCTGAGGCTGGTCTCATGGGACAAAGAGGGAATTGCACTGAAGTCTCAGGGTTTTAGGACCAGAAGGGTAGGAGCTAGAGAAGGTGGCAGAGGTGAAGGTTGAACAAGTGAGTGGGACTCCAGGTACAAGTCCCAGCCTGCCCCCGGCTTCAACCACAGTAGCTCAGTTTCACGGTCTTACACATTAGCTCCGTGGCCTGGAGTAAGTTTCAAATGAGCACAGCGCCTACTTCCTATGGCTGATGAAGCACAGTGACTGACTGCAGGTAAACGCACCTAATATAGCGTGGGTCACCAAGTGGATGTTCAAAGCATGACAGCTATGGGTGTTTCAGATTCTACATTCTATTTTTTTTTTTTTTTTGAGATGGAGTCTCACTCTGTCGCCCAGGCTGGAGTGCAGTGGCGCAACCTTGGCAGCACCCACCACCACGCCTGACTAATTTTTTGTATTTTTAGTCGTGATGGGGTTTTGTCACGGTAGCCAGGCTGCTCTCAAACTCCTGACCTTAAGTGATCATCCCACCTCAGCCTCTCAAAGTGCTGGGATTATAGGCATGAGCCACCGCACCCGGCCTCTACATTAGATTTTGTTACAAGAAAGGATTTGGAAATCACTGATTTGGCCCATCTCTCTCATTTTAAAACAATTGAAAAATAACTTTGTTAAAGTACACACAAAGTATGTAAATGCATTTGTATAAGAAAATTTCCAAAAAAACTATACCAGAGTAAATGGAAAAAAATATTTCCTTGCTTCTCTACCTACTCTCACTCCAACTTCCTTCCCAAGAGACATCCACTGTTACCATTTCCAGACCTCTTTCTTATACATTTACACACATAAACATGCTTTTTACTTTTTCCATAAAAGACATTATACCTCCCAAAGTGCTGGGATGACAGGCGTGAGCTGCTGCGTCCGGCCCCCGTTCTACCACTTTTAAACTGCTGTGTAGCATCTCACAGTATGGATGCACTGTAATTTATTTAACCATCTTCAATAATAAACATTACAGACACAGCCAAGCCTTTTGCTTTTAAGGCTGCAGTTCACCTCTTTCTTTGTGCATCTTCCTCTACATGTATGGATTTTTTTTTAGACTTCTGGTTTAGATGTAAAATTGTTGCTTGACAGGACATGCATATTTACATTTCTGAAAGTTCTGATAATGACAATTTATGCACCAAAAAGGTTGTATCAAGCTGTATACTAGCCCTAAAATCCTGTACTGTTAGTCTTGTAATTTTTTTCTGTTTGCAAACCTGATGTAGGAAAAATATCCTGTTTTCTTTTTTTTCATGTTTATTAGCCAACTGAATTTCTTCAGTCAATCGTCTGTCTGACTCTGTACTCATTTTTCTAACGGGTTACTCGTATTTTCCTTATGGATTTTTAGGAGTTCTTTACATGTGCTAGATATTAATCGTTTGTGTCATGCAGCTTCAACTGTTTTTTAATCCCTTGATTATGTTTCTGGTCTCTTTTTCCAAAAGAACGTTGTTCTCTTTATGTTGTTAAACCTTTTAGTACTTTTCTTCATGGCTTTTGGGTTTTATGTCTTATTTAGTCTCCCTAATATTCTGTTATTAAAGGATAGGTGGGCATGGTGGCTCACACCTGGAATCCCAGCACTTTGGGAGGCCGAGGCGGGCAGATCACCTGAGGTCAGGAGTTTGAGACCAGCCTGGTCAACATGGTGAAACCCCGTCTCTACTAAAAATACAAAAATTAGCCAGGCTTAGTGGTGTGCACCTGTAATCCCAGCTACCCAGGAGGCTGAGGCAGGAGAATTGCTTGAACCTGGGAGGCAGAGGTTGCAGTGGGCCGATATCGCCCCACTGCACTCCAGCCTGCTGACAGAGCAAGACTCTGTCTAAAAAACAAAATGAAAAAACAAAAAAATAAAAAAATAAAGGATAGTCTTTTCTTCTCATTTAACAGGGAAGGCAGTTCACTACATTACAGCAGAATCGGGATTAGACCACAAGTCTTGACTGCTGGTCCAAGGATTTTGCTACTAAATCACTTTGCTTCTCTATTGTTACCCGCAGTTTAAAAAAAAAAAACAAATCTAGCTCTAAAGAAAATTCAAAGGTATGATTCTCTCAACTTGGATTTCTTCTTCCCTCCCTCCTTTCTTCTTTCCCCTTCCATTCCTGCCTGCATGGGTTCTGTGTACACTCTGCACGACTCGAGGAGACGGATGAGTCAGCTACAATTCCTGTATTCAAGGAGCTCAATGTCTACGCATATGTAATGATGCAAACAGAAATTACCATAGAACAGAGTCACTTGGTTTCCCAGTGGACAGGAAATCTGAAGAGAGCACCTTGATGTGTTAGCAGGGAGCCTGGGCCTCCAAAGAGAAGAGGTTTACTCCTTTCTCTTTCTTTTCTTTTTTTTTAGAGATAGGGTGTCACTCTGTCACTCATCATAGCTCACTGCAGCCTCAACTCCTGGGCTGAAGTGATCCTCCTGCCTCAGCCTCCCAAGTGATTGGGACTAAGGGGTGCACCCGACTAATTTTTTTTTTTTTGTAGGGATGAGGTCTCACTATGTTGCCCAGGCTGGTCTCGAACTCCTGGTCTCAAGCAATCCTGCCTTGGCCTCCCAAAGTGCTGGGATTATACAGGTGTGAGCCACTGCATCAGACCAAAAAGAAGAGGTTTCCGGAGTGAAAATTTGGACCTGGTCTTTGACTACACAGAGACAAACGTTTAACCGGCAGTACTATGTTCCACCTTTCCAATGGAGGCACGTAGTCCCCAGGCCTGTATACCTGGCTTTGGGGTTTACAGAGACTCATTGACCTAGTTTGTTCACCAGAGATGTTAAAAGGTAAACCCTAAAGTAAAAACATATCCTAATTGTAACCAAATCTGATAACTGATAAAGAAATAAGGTATTTGTGACTGAGTAAGGCCTCTGACTCACAAAATTACTAGTCTGTAAAATGGGATCAATACTTAAGAAAAATGATGACAGGGCATTCTAGAAACATGATGTACTGCGTAAGAGACAAACAATAAATCCACACAGAGTGTTCTGTATCATCACTTTCCCAGCAGCTCAGTGAAATCACTGCAATGAGGGGTTAAGCACCGAAGCCAATGGATAGAGTCACCATACAGTGAAACCCTGAATCCCAACCACCCAACCCACTGATTTCACGTGGCAGCTCCCTAGGGAAGGTCTTACCAGGGTCCCATCGGTCAGGGTGCAGCCGGAGAAGCGTTTTGCAAGAAACCCCTCAAAGTTAGTTGTTCTTTGAATAGCAAAAAGAAGCAATTTCACTTCAATTTCCTTCGCTCTGGTACGCATAATCTTGGCAAGTTCTGCCCTTCAAAACAAAGAGATAAGAATACTATCAAACAAGCTGATCATTCATTCAGTAGAGATAAGGTAAATGGCCTTAGCTTATATTCAGAAAAAAAAAATGTATGTGGTCATTTCAAACCCTGAGGTCTGTTACCACCTTAGTCTAAAACCTGGGGAATAGAAATACATATTCTAAACAAGATTTTTAAGGTGAAATTATCCACCAGGCAAAAAAATCAGGGGTCATGGATGATATATATATACTTATATTTATTTGTTTGTTTATTTATTTATTTATTTATTTGAGATGGAGTCTCCCTCTGTCGCCCAGGCTGGAACCTCCACCTCCTGGGTTCAAATGATTCTTTTTTTTTTTTGTATTTTTAGTAGAGATAGTGTTTCACCATGTTGGCCAGGCTGGTCTCAAACTCCTGACCTCAAGAGATCCGCCCACCTCGGCCTCCCAAAGTGCTGGGATTATAGGTGTGAGCCACCAGTAATTTGGTTACATAGTTACTACGTTGCCTGTATCTTTGAACAGTTTAATAATTGGATAATAATACATATGGAGCACCTAATTTTTTATTAGTGTATATAGCCTATATAATTTCACAAGTCATTAATTACTGAATTATAAAGCCCTCCCTCTTCCTGAGGGCCCAATAATCATCTCTTCAACTAGAGAGCAGGAGTCCTGGAAACACACGCAAGGGACAGGATCCCTGCGGGAAAAGTGGCAAGCACGCTTAGCTGGTCCCTGCCCGAGAAGCTCCTGTGCAGCTCTCACTCAAACGTTCCATCTCAGAAGCTCAGTTGCTGGTGAACAGGGACATGTGAGTTCTTAGTAAGGACTAAGCTACCATCTTCTCACACAAATAAATGACAAAATGAAACAAAGAGTCTCTGAGTTTATTTGAGAATGATGTATCTGTAGGATTTTAGCCAAAATTCTAACAATAGAAGCTTGGCAGCAACACTGCCATTAGCCGAGACAACAATGGCAGGTACTGGCGCTCACAAGAAACGTGCTGGCTCTAGCATACGTCCAGCCTCTCCCAGGCTCCATTTCTCACTGAGCTGGTTTGCAAGTCTGCTGAACTGTAGGCTAAAAAGAATTAGCTAACAGTTTCTCAAGGAATTCACTCTTTATTTTGTTAATTGGGATTTAGAAGGTGACAATCTCAACTCATCTTAAACCAATGCTAAAAGGTTCTCTAAATCTACAGGAGTCAATGTGTTTCTTTTTTTTTCTTCCTCTTTCTTTCTTTTTCCCTTCCACTCGCCCTCCCTCCCTCCCTCCCTCCCTTCCTCACTTCCTTCCTTCTCTGTCTTTCTCTCTCTTCTTTTTTTTTTTTTGAGACAGGGTCTCACTCTGTCACCCAGGGCTGGAGTGCAATGGCATGATAATGGCCTACTGCAACCTTGACCTGGGCTCAAGCAATCCTCCCACCTCAGCCTCTCTAGTAGCTGGGATTACAGGTGCTTGCCACCATGACCAGCTAATTTTTGCATTTTTTGTAGAGATGGGGTTTTGCCATGTTGCCCAGGCTTGTCTCAAACTCCTAGGCTCATATGATCCACCTGCCTTGGCCTCCTGAAATGCTAGGATTATAGGCATAAACCACCAAGCCTGGCCCAATGTGTTTCTTAGAATAACAGCCACACAGAATGGAGCTCAGTGCACCTGTAGTTGCAGCTACTTGGGTGGCTGAAGCAGGAGGGCTGCCTGAGCCCGGGAGTTCAAGGCTGGGGTACGCTATTACCATGCCTGTGAATAGCCATTGTACTCCAGCCTGGGCAACACTGCGAGACCCCCATCTCTTAAAAAAAAAAAAAAAAGCCACACAGAATGTATGTGAACACCAAGCGTGAACACTACCATGAACTATGGACCATCACTCTGGGTAATGATGATGTGTCCGTGTAGTTTCATGAGCTGTGATAAATGCATCGCTCTGGCGGAAGGTGCCGACCATGGGGAAGACTATGCACGTGGGGCCGGGAGCACCTGGGAACTCTCTGTGTCTTCTGCTCAATTCTGCTGTGAACCTAAAACTGCTCTAAAAGGTAAAATCTATTTTAAGAAAAGCCAATATCCCTTAAAACACTTTTGCCCCACAATGTGTTTGAAACATGCAATTTGACTTTACTTTCCATGATTTTAATAAAAAAGACGGCCATGGATTATGGGAAAAGGTGGTTGAGTTATGCTAGATATGGGCTTTTTTTTCTCTTTTTCACCCAGCATTAGATCTAACTGTGTACTACTGGGAGGAAATATATAACTAATAAGAACCAGTTACCAACACTGTTGTAGTCTAGCCGCAAATAAAGAATAAAAGGAGTTCAAGACCAGCCCGAACAACACAGCAAAACTCTTGTCTCTACAAAAAATACACACACAAAAATTAGCCGGTGTGGTGGCACACACCTGTCATCTCAGCTACTCAGGAGGCTGAGGTGGGAGAATCACTTGAGCCTAGGAGGTCAAGGCTGCTGTGAGCCATGATCACACCACTGCACTCCAGTCTGGGTGACAAAGTGAGACCCCGTCTCAAAAAAAAAAAAAAGTCTGACTCTGGCTTTAGCTTTGTCATAGATATACTGATTTAACCTTCCTGGGCTTTGGGTTTTTTTAATATAAAGAGACTATCTGTCCTTGGGCTACACTCATGGATAACGTAGAGAGGATGAACAAAAGACGGTCTTTAAAATGCTTGGAAAGCTCAGACGCAGGCCAGGTGCAGTGGCTCATGCCTGTAATCCCGGCACTTCGGGAGGCTAAAATGGGCGGGCAGATCACCTGAGGTCGGGACTTCAAGACCAGCCTGGCCAACGTGGTGAAACCCCATCTCTACTAAAAATACAAAAATGAGCCAGGTGTGGTTACACACACCTGTAATCCTTGCTACCTGGGAGACTGAGGCATGAGAATCACTTGAATGCAGTAAATGGAGGTGGCAGTGAGCTGGGATTGTATCACTGCAGCACTCCAGCCTGGGTGACAGAGTGATTCTGTCTTGAAATAAAAGCTCTGAACTATCCAGAGGCTATACACACTGTATTGGGAGTGGGAAATTCATTCAACAAATGTTTCCTCTGTGTCTGCTATATCATTAAGGTAGATACTACCCTGTCTCTATGGAACTATCTATCTAGCAAGTCAGAAAATAAAAATGATGATGGGATATATACACAGCACACTGATACATGCGATACCGACTAGGGGAAAACGTGGGGTAGAGGAATCACTGTAGGTCAATCTGGTGTATAAGCCTTGAGTTGGTGGAGAAGGTAGAGATGGCTTGAGGCAAGAACTACACCACGGAAAGTCCCAGAGCAAAGATGGGGGCAGAGGGAGCAGCTGGTGGGGCCACTGTGGGGTACGAGGATGATATTAGTCATCTGGTGGGGTCTGGAAGTGGCATCAAATCCACAGGACAACATGGAACCATTAGAGACTGGGGAACCGATGGTGAAAATTTGATTAACCACAGAACCAGTAGAGAACTGGCATCTACCTTGTCACATGGCAAAATTCCACCGCAATCCTCTCAGCCATGCACCACTCACGTGGAAACATGCGGCCGTATTTCTCCTCATAGTCCACAAGCTGGCGTTTTATCCAGGCATAGCGTCTGTCGATTTTGTCCAGCCAGGCAACCTGGTGAAGGTGGAGATCAAAAGCCACCCCAGTGGTTAGAAGTAGAAATGGCAGTTCAAGGAAACAAGCAAAAACACAGAGCCAAGCAAAAGGGAACCAACCTCTGTATTTCTCATGGTTTTAAAGAATCTAGGCTACCTTTTTAACTTGATTTTTTACTTAAAAATTCAGAGGTTTTTGGCTGGGCGCAGTGGCTCATGCCTATAATCCCAGCACTTTGGGAGGCCGAGGTCAGCAGATCACCTGAGGTCAGTTCGAGACCAGCCTGACCAACATGGAGAAACCCCGTCCCTACTAAAAAATACAAAAATTAGCCTGGTGTGGTGACAGGCGCCTGTAATCCCAGCTACTTGGGAGGGGGAGGCAGGAGAATTGCTTGAACCCGGGAGGCAAGGTTGCAGTAAACTGAGATCGCACCACTGCGTTCCAGCCTGGGCAACAAGAGCGAAACTCCGTCTCACACACACACACACACACACACAAAATCCAGAGGTTTTTAACCTGGGGTCCATGATTGGCCTTCAGGGGTCTATACATTTCCAGAAACTATATGCAGAATTTTATGCACAGGTGCATGTTTCTGAATTTCTCCAAAGGGTCAGTGACCTCAAAATGGTTAAGAACTATAAACTCAGCCCCTAGGACTCACAGCTCAACAACCAACACTGTCAGACAGTCATGTAATACGAGGTCTAAATTAGTAGGCTTGACAGCACTCATGTTTCAATAAAATTCAAATGTTACATCTGATCTTATTTGGTCAATACTCACATCTTGGTTTTCTTGAAAAAGTACCAGATACTCTGACAGATGCTGTTTAATAAACTTTTTGATGATTTCCTGTTTGATCCTGGGATCTAGAATATTAGCAACCAGACATGCATCTCGTAGAACATTGCTGGGTCCTCCTGGTCTCTAGTAAAACAAACATGTACCAGGTGAAAAGCCAGAAACAACCTTTAAACCTCATGGCTTCTCACAGCCACTACTTGTTATCTCTACGCATTGTCAGTCTTACTCCTGCTCCTTCACACTCATTCTTTCTGCTGTGGCTGGATCTGTCAGTTACCTGCTGCTCCTCGAGGATGGAATCCTTACACTCGTTTTACAGCAAGCGACAGAAAAACTACCCTGTGAATCTGCAATGAGATATTTTGGGAAATGGGCAGTAATGATCACGGGAAATTTGACTTTCTGCAAACCAAAACTGAAAGAGATCTAAAAGTCAGAATGCCACTGGTCTCTGATGTCGCAAGATGCTGCTGAAGAGGCCTAAGAGTGGGAATGCCACCAGCCTCTCTCCTAAGAGTTGGAATGCCACCAGCCTCACTCCACATGTGCCACTCTTCCCTGACTCCAACCTCTGGGATTCCTGTTCTTAAAGTGCTATGTTTTTGCCAAATAGTGTGGTCTCCCTTAACACATAAAACCAGGTTCCAAGCCACGACATGTGTTTCACAATAGTGAACTACCTAGAAAGGCAGCCAAAGAGAAAATGCTGTGATACTGGCCTCCTGACCTGAGCGAACACTGGAAAGATACCAGGCGCTGTACTGACGCATCACGACGGGAAGGTCTTTGTTACCAAAAGCAATTCAATGACCAAAGTTTTGCTGAGACTTTCTTTACAGTACGTCACTGAGTGAA
Source organism: Homo sapiens (assembly GCF_000001405.40). Lineage (NCBI taxonomy): Eukaryota > Metazoa > Chordata > Mammalia > Primates > Hominidae > Homo > Homo sapiens. The sequence continues at coordinate 188,441 of NW_017363817.1, forward strand.
CATGACTGGCTAAGTGGACTACAGTAAAAAGAACACTTGGAATCTACTCCTGGCTTGGCTAAAAAGCCATGCATGTAGCTTTGGAGCACTTGCTCACCTCATATGAAAAATAATAGACTTTAGGTGATAAGTAAGGTTCTTCTAAATCTTTATTTTTTGTCAACTCTTTCCAATTCCACCCATCTCAACTGAAGTTCCACGCTTCTAAAGTGTTATATAAGCTGCCTGAGACCTGAGTTTTTAAAATGTTGACTTACTCCATGCTGAGTGGTTTTTATGTCATCTGCTGAACACCCTAACTTCTCAATTCTCACTTCAGGATGAAAGTGACCTGATAGAGAAGTCATAGATGCCAAAACCTATGGGTTCACGGGTTCAGATTTTTTCATTTACAAAGAGTTTACTAGGTTGTGCCTTGGAAAAATTTTTAAAAATCTTAATTCCCACTTGTGAAATGGAAATAGTAACACAAGGCCTTTAAGAAAAGCCCATAGTCTTTAAAAAGAAAACTAGGCTGGGAGCGGTGGCTCACGCCTGTAATCCCAGCACTTTGGGAGGCCAAGGCAGGCAGATCATGAGGTCAGGAGATCGAGATCCATCATGGCTAACATGGTGAAACCCCATCTCTACTAAAAAAAAATACAAAAAAATTAGCCAGGCGTGGTGGCGGGTGCCTGTAGTCCTAGCTACTCAGGAGGCTGAGGCAAGAGAATGGCATGAACTCGGAAGGTGGAGCTTGCAGTGAGCCGAGATCGCACCACGACACTCCAGCCTGGGCAACGGAGCAAGACTCCATCTCAAAAAAAAGAAAAGAAAAGAAAACTAAAAACAAAACAAAAAAAAAACCACACACACACACACACACACACACACACACACACACGAAGTCACTATGCCAGAGAAAAGGGAGGCATGTTGTTAAAGAGAACCATTTTAATTTCATCTGCCCGGTGGAATCTGGGAAAAAAAATATAAAGCAGGCCTCTTCTAAACAATAAAGATGGGCTTCATCCACATCTTCCTGAAACTTCTAGAAACTGAAATGAGTGGCTGGGCATGGTGGCTCATGCCTGTAATCCCAGCACTTTGGGAGGCCGAGGCGGGCGGATCACCTGAGGTTGGGAGTTCGAAACCATCCTGGCCAACATGGAGAAACCCCGTCTCTACTAAAAATACAAAAATTAGCCAGGTGTGGTGGCAGGTGCCTGTAATCCCAGCTATTTGGGAGGCTGAGGCAGGAATCACTTGAACCCAGGGGGCGGAGGTTGCAGTGGGCTGAGATCACACCATTGCACTCTAGCCTGGGCCAAAGAGTGAAACTCCGTCAAAAAAAAAACAAACAAACAAACAAAAAAAAAAACCTGAAACGGGCAGCTGAGTACACGTGAGGCTAACCTTGTCCTAAGAAGAGCCCAGTGCTTCTCATGAGCGAATATCCCCACAATCCCTTTTCACTTCTTTGACCTTCATTTTCCTCATGTAATAAATAGGACTAATGGCTTTCCAATATCTACTCCCTCCCTGCAGTTATATCAGATGACTAAGGAATATGAGGTTCTCCAAGGAAAGTGCTTTACAAATAAGCATCTGATTACTAGCAGACAGCCACAAAATGTGAAGACATTAAAATCAGGAGCGGGCTTCCTATAGAAAGTGATGGGCAAAAGCTGGGGCCGCTACTCCCACTTACTTCCTACATTTCTTTTATGGAACACAAAGAAAAAATAATTAAGATATTTCCAGTTATTGAATTACAGAGCAGATGCAGGAAATGTTCCTTGGATCAGTAAATGAATGTATGTCCCCATCTCTACCCACCGAGTAGGGTGAGGCTCCTTGCCCCTAAGTGCTTCAGTATATTTCTGCCTTGAACAATTCTTTCTCTTGAAATAGCTCAAACAATAGAGAAAAAGTCTCGTATGGGTTCTTTCCTGTCCGACACATGCTAGGCGCTAAGATGGCATCTGCTACAGTTGGAAGGGTGGAGCTAAAAGCAGTTCCCCAAGCAGGATGGCAGCTTGTTACATGAGAAGTGCAACCAACAGCTCCCAAGTGAAATGCTGTGGGCTTTGCAGACACAACACAAACAGCTCTGCTACCAGAGAGAGCTCAAGGGCATGAATTCCGAAGAGCAGGCTTATGGTCAGTAACAGTGAGGCTCCTCACTATATCACTCTGAGAGTTACATAAGATGGTGGATGCTCCACCCAGTTGTCTTTTCACCAAACCAAAACCAGTAAGTTATGTAACAATCCTAAAAACACCGCGGCATGAAGATTTCTTTTAAATACAGCCATGAGAAAAAAGGAATTGACAGGGCATACAAGATAGACGGTTTGAGACCTACATCAAATTAAGCCCAAACAAATCCTCTCTTTCTGAGGCTGGAAGGAAACAGAGGAGGAACTGCCACCACCTAGGGACATTTAAAATCCAGGGTGGTCTCATTACCCTGAACCTGCAGCAGAAGGATTTGCAGCTGCCAGCGAGCATGACTGGAATGATAACCACATGGTGACTGGGGTGAGCGTGAGCTCGGCAAGGATGGTGATCATCTCTAAAGACTGGGGAAACGCAAAGCAGTACCTTGGTGCCCTGGGAAGGAAACGCTTCTTCAAAATCTGCCAGGATTTGCTGTCCTAACTCAGTCTGTGCAGCCTTCACTCTGTGAGGAAGAGAGAACATATCATCACCTGGCATCATATCCTTATGTAACTACACACCGATCCACAGGGTCGGAAGGGCTGAAGTCTTTCGAGAAAGGCCAGGAAGGGTACAGAGACGTCCATGAGGTGAGAGGTCACATACTAGTTAAGTGACAGGTTGATGAGCAGGACCCAGGCATCCAAGATATTCTCAGGGTGAATCTTCTATATCCCCAAAATTCTTCTAGGCCAACCCTTTACCTGAGGTCATATGTATTAATCTTTATACAGTTCCACTGGGGGATAGTCATGCTGTGGGAAAATGTTATAGAATCACATCCACATCAAATATAAATCTAGCTGGGCGCAGTGGTTCACGCCTGGAATCCCAGCATGTGGGAAGCTGACGTGAGAGGGTCGCTTGAGACCAGGATTTCAAAACCAGCCTGGGCAACATTAGAGAGATCCAGTCTCCACGAAAAACAAACTAAAATAAAAAGTACCCAGGTGCGGGGGCACACACCTGTACTCGGGAGGCTGCGGCGGGAGGATCTCTTGAGCCCAGGACTTTTGAAGATACACTGAGCTATGATCACACCACAGCACTCCAGCCTGGGTGACAGAGGGAGACCTTGGCTCTAAAACAAAACACTAACAAACAACAACAAATAAATCCACTTTGGATTACTGGTGTAACTGCTGTCCTACTCCTTGGAGTACAGAATGGCAAGAGGGCTCCATAATGTTTTAGGGTGTTTTGTAAAAAATTATTATGGGTATATAATCATTATATATATATTTATGGGGTACCTGTGAAGTCTTGATACAGGCATACGATGTATAATGATCAAATCAGGGTAACTGGGTTATCAATCACCCCAAGTTATTTGTTACTTCTCCGTGTTAGGAACATTCCAATTCCAATCTTTTAGTTATTTTTAAATAAACAATAAATTATTAACCGTAGTCACCCTATTGTTCTACCAAATACTAGATCGTATCATTCTAACTGTATTTTTGTGCCCAGTAGCCATCCCAGTTACTCCCCGCCTCCCTGCTATGCCTCCCAGCCTCTGGGACCCAGCGTTCTACTCGCTATCTCCATGAGTTTACTTTGAAAATGTTTAGCACCCACATGAGTGAGAACATGAGGAATCTGTCTTCCCGTGTCTGGCTTATTTCATTTCACATCACGTCCAGTTCAATCCATGCAGCTGCAGTGTTTTGGGTTTCCTGTTAACCCAGAAACCAACAAGCTCGTTAAGTTTTTAAACAAATAAATGAAAAGAATGTTTTCTAAGGTAAAAACAAAAAGAGCCAAGTGACAAAATGAACTGCTAAATGATCACTAGTGAGGGCCACTGAGTGACCATTTAAGTTCAGAAGTTTGTGAATATGAAAACGGAACTGCAAGGAAAACCAGCTAGAAAGGGGAGGCCAGTACTCAACAGTGGCCGTGAGTGTACTAGGAGCTCAAGAACTGTGCGTGTACTTGAATGCAAGGGCAGAAAGGAGAAGCGGCTAGGATGGAAAGCGGCTATGGATCATACCCCACGATCAATCACGCCCCGCAATGGATCAGGCCCCGCAATCACGTCCCGCAATCGATCACGCCCCACAATCGATCGCATGCTGTGCATCCCCCACGAGCTGCCTGATGTTGGTGGCCACCGTGCACCGGCCAGCCTTGCAGAGAGAGAGTGGAACAAGATTCTCAGGCCCTGCTGGGCTTCCTGAGCCTGAGGCAAATACTGTCTGGTTGCTAAAAATGCCTTAAAAGAGCACACTTCCATTCTCGGTCTCCACCCTGTTCCTTCAGAATTAACTTTATGAAGTTTCTAGAAATAGCAACAGCTCAAAACCACAATTTCTTTGGCTGCTAAGGAGTGTCTGGCAACCTGCTGAGATTTTTTTTCAGATGAGGGGATAGGCATGACCCAAAACAATCTGTTTTTTCCGTGGCGTGGTTACAATTATACCTTATTCCAAATACTTTCCAAGGTTTTTCCAGTATCTTCAAAACTTTTAAAACCACTCTTAGAGGTGGGTTTGTAGCCTTTTGAGTCAGTTTTCAAGGAGGCCAGAATGATCCAGACGAGGCTATTACTGGAATAGCCGCCACCTCCAGATTGGAATCAGGGCCATACGTCTAGAGCTGTCCAGCAGACAATGGGAGACATTCCTTCAGCGTGAACTTTGACATGAGAGAAAAGAATAAAATTGTACTTCGGAGCTTCTTGTGATGCGCACACGAGGAGGCAGCACACAGCCTGCTGTGGTGCCAGGTCACAGGACAGCTTCCAGAGGCTCAGGCCCCCCCTGTTCCTACCCTCTTCTTGGAAGCACACACACAGCACCAGTTCCCTCCTAAGCCACAGGGAACTTATAGTAGGAACTTTTCATGGTTAGAAGAGGAAGGAGTTCTCCTCACAGGGGAAGTCCAGCCGCTAGCCAGGGCACCCACAGTCACATTCTCAGGACTACTGGCCATCTCAATGACACTGGTGGGCCCGGCTCTGCCCCTGGCCCGAACTATTTGCTACTCCATATTCTTGGTGACTCTGGAACTGAGGTGGCAGAAAGGAGAGCCTCTGGCCCAAACTATTCCCTACTCTGAATTCTTGGTGACTCTGGAACTGAGGTGGCAGAAAGGAGAACCAGAGCCTGTGACAGCACCTGGTATCACCAGAGACAAAAAAGAGGAAAAATTACCAGTCTCTGATTTGTAGACTTCCTTGCCATGCTCTTCATTTTCATTTTTTTACATTAAATTATTATGTACACCTTATTTTTTTTTATTATTATACTTTCAGTTTTAGGGTACATGTGCACAATGTGCAGGTTCGTTACATATGTATACATGTGCCATGCTGATGTGCTGCACCCATTAACTCATCATTTACATTAGCTATATCTCCTAATGCTATCCCTCCCCCCTCCCCCCACCCCACAACAGGCCCCGGTGTGTGATGTTCCCCTTCCTGTGTCCAAGTGTTCTCATTGTTCAATTCCCACCTATGAGTGAGAACATGCAGTGTTTGGTTTTTTGTCCTTGCAATAGTTTGCTGAGAATGATGGTTTCCAGCTTCATCTGTGTCCCTAAAAGGGACATGAACTCATCCTTTTTTATGGCTGCATAGTATTCCATGGTGTATATGTGCCACATTTTCTTAATCCAGTCTATCATTGATGGACATTTGGGTTGGTTCCAAGTCTTTGCTATTGTGAATAGTGCCGCAATAAACATACGTGTGCATGTGTCTTTATAGCAGCATGATTTATAATCCTTTGGGTATATACCCAGTAATGGGGTGGCTGGGTCAAATGGTATTTCTAGTTCTAGATCCTTGAGGAATCGCCACACTGTCCTCCACAATGGTTGAACTAGTTTACATTACCACCAACAGTGTAAAATTGTTCCTATTTCTCCACATCCTCTCCAGCATCTGTTGTTTCCTGACTTTTTAATGATCACCATTCTAACTGGTGTGAGATGGTATCTCATTGTGGTTTTGATTTGCATTTCTCTGATGACCAGTGATGGTTAGCATTTTTTCATGTGTCTGTTGGCTGCATAAATGTCTTCTTTTGAGAAGCATCTGTTCATATCCTTCGCCCACTTCTTGATGGGGTTGTTTGTTTTTTTCTTGTAAATTTGTTTGAGTTATTTATAGATTCTGGATATTAGCCCTTCATCAGATGAGTAGATTGCAAAAATTTTCTCCCATTCTGTAGGTTGCCTGTTCACTTTGATCATAGTTTCTTTTGCTGTGCAGAAGCTCTTTAGTTTAATTAGATCCCATTTGTCAATTTTGGCTTTTGTTGCCATTGCTTTAAGTGTTTTAGACATGAAGTCCTTGCCCATGCCTATGTCCTGAATGGTATTGCCTAGGTTTTCTTCTAGGGTTTTTATGGTTTTAGGTCTAACATTTAAGTCTTTAATCCATCTTGAATTAATTTTTGTATAAGGTGTAAGGAAGGGATCCAGTTTCAGCTTTCCACGTATGGCTAGCCAGTTTTCCCAGCACCATTTATTAAATAGGGAATCCTTTCCCCATTTCTTGTTTTTGTCAGGTTTGTCAAAGATCAGATGGTTGTAGATGTGTGGTATTATTTCTGAGGGCTCTGTTCTGTTCCATTGATCTACATCTCTGTTTTGGTACCAGTACCATGCTGTTTTGGTTACTATAGCCTTGTAGTATAGTTTGAAGTCAGGTAGCATGATGCCTCCAGCTTTGTTCTTTTGGCTTAAGATTGTCTTGGCAATGCGGGACCTTTTTTGGTTCCATATGAACTTTAAAGTAGTTTTTTCCAATTCTGTGAAGAAAGTCATTGGTAGCTTGATGGGGATGGCACTGAATCTATAAATTACCTTGGGCAGTATGGCCATTTTCACGATATTGGTTCTTCCTATCCATGAGCATGGAATGTTCTTCCATTTGTTTGTATACTCTTTTATTTCATTGAGCAGTGGTTTGTAGTTCTCCTTGAAGAGGTCCTTCACATCCCTTGTAAGTTGGATTCCTAGGATTCCCAAATTCCTAGTTGGATTTTATTCTCTTTGTAGCAATTGTGAATGGGAGTTCCCTCATGATTTGGCTCTCTGTTTGTCTGTTATTGGTGCATAAGAATGCTTGTGATTTTTGCACACTGATTTTGTCTCCTGAGACTTTGCTGAAGTTGCTTATCAGCTTAAGGAGATTTTGGGCTGAAACGATGGGGTTTTCTAAATATACAATCATGTCATCTGCAAACAGGGACAATTTGACTTCCTCTTTTCCTAATTGAATACCCTTTATTTCTTTCTCCTGCCTGATTGCCTTGGCCAGATCTTCCAACACTATGTTGAATAGGAATGGTGAAAGAGGGCATCCCTGTCTTGTGCCAGTTTTCAAAGGGAATGCTTCCAGTTTTTGCCCATTCAGTATGATATTGGCTGTGGGTTTGTCATAGATAGCTCTTATTATTTTGAGATAAGTCCCATCAATGCCTAATTTATTGAGAGTTTTTAGCATGAAGGGCTGTTGAATTTTGTCAAAGGCCTTTTCTGCATCTATTGAGATAATCATGTGGTTTTTGTCTTTGGTTCTGTTTATATGATGAATTACATTTTTTGATTTGCATATGTTGAACCAGCCTTGCATCCCAGGGATGAAGCCCACTTGATCATGGTGGATAAGCTTTTTGATGTGCTGCTGGATTTGGTTTGCCAGTATTTTACTGAGGATTTTTGTGCCAATGTTCATCAGGGATATTGGTCTAAAATTCTCTTTTTTTGTTGTGTCTCTGCCAGGCTTTGGTATCAGGATGATGCTGGTCTCATAAAATGAGTTAGGGAGGATTCCCTCTTTTTCTATTGATTGGAATAGTTTCAGAAGGAATGGTACCAGCTCCTCCTTGTACCTCTGGTAGAATTCGGCTGTGAATCCATCTGGTCCTGGACTTTTTTTGGTTGGTAGGCTATTAATTATTGCCTCAATTTCAGAGCCTGTTATTGGTCTATTCAGGGATTCAACTTCTTCCTGGTTTAGTCTTGGGAGGGTGTATGTGTCCAGGAATTTATCCATTTCTTCTAGATTTTGTAGTTTATTTGCATAGGGGTGTTTATAGTATTTTCTGATGGTAGTTTGTATTTCTGTGGGATCAGTGGTGATATCCCCTTTATCATTTTTTATTGCATCTATTTGATTCTTCTCTCTTTTCTTCTTTATTAGTCTTGCTAGCAGTCTATCAATTTTGTTGATCCTTTCAAAAAACCAGCTCCTGGATTCATTGATTTTTTTGAAGGGTTTTTTGTGTCTCTATCTCCCTCAGTTCTGCTCTGATCTTAGTTATTTCTTGACTTCTGCGAGCTTTTGAATGTGTTTGCTCTTGCTTCTACAGTTATTTTAATTGTGATGTTAGGGTGTCAATTTTAGATCTTTTCTGCTTTCTCTTGTGGGCATTTAGTGTTATAAATTTCCCTCTACACACTGCTTTAAATGTGTCCCAGAGATTCTGGTATGTTGTATCTTGTTCTCATTGGTTTCAAAGAACATCTTCATGTCTGCCTTCATTTCATTATGTATCCAGTAGTCATTCAGGAGCAGGTTGTTCAGTTTCCAGTAGTTGAGTGGTTTTGAGTTAGTTTCTTAACCCTGAGCTCTAGTTTGATTGCACTGTGGTCTGAGAGACAGTTCGTTATAATTTCTGTTCTTTTACATTTGCTGAGGAATGCTTTACTTCCAACTATGTGATCAATTTTGGAATAAGTGCGATGTGGTGCTGAGAAGAATGTATATTCTGTTGATTTGGGGTGGAGAGTTCTGTAGATGTCTATTAGGTCCGTTTGGTGCACAGCTAGTTCAATTCCTGGATATTCTTGTTAACTTTCTGTCTCATTGATCTGTCTAATGTTGACAGTGGGGTGTTAAAGTCTCCCATTACTATTGTGTGGGAGTCTAAGTCTCTTTGTAGTTTCTAAGGACTTGCTTTATGAATCTGCGTACTCCTGTATTGGGTGCATATATATTTAGGATAGTTAGCTCTTCTTGTTGAATTGATCCCTTTACCATTAAGTAATGGCCTTCTTTGTCTCTTTTGATCTTTGTTGGTTTAAAGTCTCTTTTATGAGAGACTAGGATTGCAACCCCTGCCTTTTTTTGTTTTCCATTTGCTTGGTAGATCTTCCTCCATCCCTTTATTTTGAGCCTATGTGTGTCTTTGCACATGAGATGGGTCTCCTGAATACAGCACACCGATGGGTCTTGACTCTTGAGCCAATTTGCCAGTCTGTGTCTTTTAATTGGAGCATTTAGCCCATATACATTTAAGGTTAATATTGTTATGTGTGAATTTGATCCTGTCATTATAATGTTAGCTGGTTATTTTGCTCGTTAATTGATGCAGTTTCTTCCTAGCATGGATGGTCTTTACAATTTGGCATGTTTTTGCAGTGGCTAGTACCGGTTGTTCCTTTCCATGTTTAGTGCTTCCTTCAGGAGCTCTTGTAGGGCAGGCCTGGTGGTGAAAAAATCTCTCAGCATTTGCTTGTCTGTAAAGGATTTTATTTCTCCTTCACTTATGAAGCTTAGTTTGGCTGGATATGAAATTCTGGGTTGAAAATTCTTTTCTTCAAGAATGTTGAATATTGGCCCCCACTCTCTTCTGGCTTATAGAGTTTCTGCCGAAAGATCCGCTGTTAGTCTGATGGGCTTCCCTTTGTGGGTAACCTGACCTTTCTCTCTGACTGCCTTTAACATTTTTTTCCTTCATTTCAACTTTGGTGAGTCTGACAGTTATGTGTCTTGGAATTGCTCTTCTCGAGGAATATCTTTGTGGTGTTCTCTGTATTTCCTGAATTTGAATGTTGGCCTGCCTTGCTAGGTTGGGGAAGTTCTCCTGAATAATATCCTGCAGAGTGTTTTCCAACTTGGTTCCATTCTCCCCATCACTTTCAGGTACACCAATAAGACGTAGATTTGGTCTTTTCACATAGTCCCGTATTTCTTGGAGGCTTTGTTCATTTCTTTTTACTCTTTATTCTCTAAACTTCTCTTCTTGCTTCATTTCATTCATTCGATCTTCAATCACTGATACCCTTTCTTCCAGTTGATCGAATTGGCTACTGAAGCTTGTGCGCTCGTCAGGTAGTTCTTGTGCCATGGTTTTCAGCTCCATTAGGTCATTTAAGGACTTCTCTAGACTGGTTATTCTAGTTAGCCATTCGTCTAATCTTTTTTCAAGGTTTTTAGCTTCTTTGTGATGGGTTCAAACTTCCTCCTTTAGCTCAGAGAAGTTTGATCGTCTGAAGCCTTCTTCTCTCAACTCGTCAAAGTCATTCTCCGTCCAGCTTTGTTCCATTGCTGGCGAGGTGCTTTGTTCCTTTGGAGGGGGAGAGGTGCTCTGATTTTTAGAATTTTCAGCTTTTCTGCTGTTTTTTCCCCATCTTTGGGGTTTTATCTACCTTTGGTTTTTGATGATGGTGACGTACAGATGGGGTTTTGGTGTGGATGTCCTTTCTGTTTGTTAGTTTTCCTTCTAACAGTCAGGACCCTCAGCTGCAGGTCTGTTGGAGTTTGCTGGAGGTCCACTCCAGATGCTGTTTGCCTGGGTATCAGCAGCGGAGGCTGCAGAATAGCAAATACTGCTGAACAGCCAATGTTGCTGCCTGACTTCGTCTCAGAGGGGTACGTGGCTGTGTGAGGTGTCAGTCTGCCCCTACTGGAGGGTGCCTCCCAGTTAGGCTACTCGGGGGTCAGGGACCCACTTGAGGAGGCAGTCTGTCCATTCTTAGATCTCAAATTCTGTGCTGGGAGAACCACTACTCTCTTCAAAGCTGTCAGACAGGGACATTTAAGTCTGCAGATGTTTCTGCTGCCTTTTGTTTGGCTATGCCCTGCCCCCAGAGGTGGAGTCTACAGAGGCAGGCAGGCCTCCTTGAGCTGTGCTGGGCTCCATCCAGTTCCAGCTTCCTGGCCACTTTGTTTACCTGCTCAAGCCTCAGCAATGGCGGGCGCCCCTCTCCCAGCCTTGCTGCCGCCTTGCAGTTTGATCTCAGACTGCTGTGCTAGCAATGAGCGAGTCTCCGTGGGTGTGGGACCCGCCGAGCCAGGCACCAGATATAATCTCCTGGTGTGCCATTTGCTAAGACTGTTGGAAAAGTGCAGTATTAGGGTGGGAGTGACCCAATTTTCCAGGTGCCGTCTGTCACACCTTTGCTTGTCTATGAAAGGGAATTCCCTGACCCCTTGCGCTTCCCGGGTGACGCGATGCCCTGCCCTGCTTCAGCTCATGTTTGGTGGGCTGCACCCACTGTCCTGCACCCACTGTCCGACAAGCCCCAATGAGATGAACCTGGTAACTCAGTTGGAAATGCAGAAATCACCCGTCTTCTGCGTCGTTCAAGCTGGGAGCTGTAGACTAGAGCTGTTCCTATTCAGCCATCTTAGAACTGCCTATGTCGCCATGTTCTTCATTTTCAAAGTCACCTCTTGAGATAGGCTGGACCTGGTTATGTTACTAGTGAGCCGCATAATCACAAGTCACTTCCTCTCTGTGGGTCACAACTTTGAATAGCTGTGAAATAAGAGGGTGGGGCTAGCAGCCCATACTAGATGATTCTGTGTCCTCTCCAGTACTGATTATTCCACAACACCCATCTTACGGTGCTAACTGGCTTTACAGGTGGCTAGAGGTTAGATGTATGCTTAATCCTGGAGCAGAAGGATACGCATATAAATGTCAATGTTTCCAACAGCAGTTTTTTTCTTTGTTTTTTTTTTGAGACGAAGTCTCACTCTTGTCTCCCAGGCTGGAGTGCAATGGGATAATCTCGGCTCACTGCAACCTCCGCCTCCTGGGTTGAAGGGATTCTCCTGCCTCAGCTTCCCAAGTAGCTGGGATTACAGGCGCCTGCCACCACGCCTGGCTAATTTTTTGTATTTTTAGTAGAGACAGGGTTTCACCATGTTGGCCAGGCTGGTCTCCAACTCCTGATCTCAGGTGATCCACCCACCTCGGCCTCCCAAAGTGCTGGGATTACAGGCGTGAGTCACTGCGCCCAGCCTCTACCAATAGCAGTTTGTGAAGTGGCTATCAATGACTCAGATGAAAGCAACTATTCCCTTACAGACATCACTGATGGTATCTATAGACCCAAACCTCAATCCCATGCATTTTCAGGGTAAGATGTGAATTTCAGTCTTTATAAGCAATTGCTTAAATAGGATTCTAGAAAGAAGTCAACAGACTTGAAAGAATTTATCTTTGGCCTCATTCCTTTAAACTCCTTCCTCTTCTAACCATGAAAAGGTTCCCACTACAAAGAGGTAGCTCAACTGATAACTGTCAGCAAAGCACATATATGTGCCAAACTACCAAGATTTCCTAGTCATTCCTTTCTTTTCAGACTGGAGTACAGTGGTGCATTTGTGGCTCACTGCAGCCTCAACCTCCCAGGGTTAAGTGATCCTCCCTTCTCTCAGCCTCCTGAGTAGCTGGGACTATAGGTGTGCACCTCCATGCCCAGCTAATTCTTGTATTTTTTGTAGAGATGGAGTTTTGCCATGTTGCCCAGGCTGATCTCAAACTCCTGGGCTCAAGCGATCTGCCCACTTCAGCCTCCCAAAGTGCTAGGATTACAGGCATGAGCCACTGTGCCCAACTGATTTCCTAGCCATTCTTGTGAAAGTCCGCCTACAACTCATAGAGAACAGGGAAAACAAAAATTCCTCCTGGCATCCACGTAAGTTCAGCCTGTTGCATGGTGGCAACCCCAAATGGGTCACTCTTCAGAAACAAAAGATTCATTGTGCTGCCCAGAAAGGAAAGTCAACCAGGTGGTTTCTGGCATCCTCCATGCCACGTGACTGCAGGGCTGTTCCAAGGCACCCTTTCCTAAAAGTGTTCTCAGCTTTTCGTAAGGGGGAGTCACAGACAGACAGCAAATTATGAACATTGTTCAGATATCTGTGGATAAAGTAGCCCTGAGACTTTTGTTACCTTGTGAGTGACAGTCCCAAAGAAAACACCCCCAACAGTTCCCAAATAAATATACCGCCCTCCCAAACCACAGTCTTCTAAACAGCAGGGTTAATTAGTCAAATGCTACAGTTCCAAACAGACACCATAAAGAATCTCAGCCTAGAATCTTGAGTGACCCCATGAGACACTTCTGAGATCACCAAGGACAACACTCATACTTGGCAACCGAGGACAACACTCATACTTGGAAAGCGAGGACAACACTCATACTTGGAAAGCGAGGACAACACTCATACTTGGAAAGCGAGGAAAACACTCATACTCGGAAACCGAGGACAACACTCATACTTGGAAAGCGAGGACAACACTCATACTTGGCAACTGAGGACAACACTCATACTTGGAAACCGAGGACAACACTCATACTTGGAAAGCGAGGACAACACTCATACTTGGAAAGCGAGGACAACACTCATACTTGGAAATCAAGGACAACACTCATACTTGGCAACTGAGGACAACACTCATACTTGGCAACTGGGGACAACACTCATACTTGGAAAGCGAGGACAACACTCATACTTGGAAAGCGAGGACAACACTCATACTTGGCAACCGAGGACAACACTCATACTTGGCAACCGAGGACAACACTCATACTTGGAAAGCGAGGACAACACTCATACTTGGAAAGCGAGGACAACACTCATACTTGGAAATCAAGGACAACACTCATACTTGGAAAGCGAGGACAACACTCATACTTGGAAAGCGAGGACAACACTCATACTTGGAAATCGAGGACAACACTCATACTTGGAAATCGAGGACAACACTCATACTTGGCAACCGAGGACAACACTCATACTTGGCAACCGAGGACAACTCTCATACTTGGAAAGCGAGGACAACACTCATACTTGGAAAGCGAGGACAACACTCATACTTGGAAAGCGAGGACAACACTCATACTTGGAAATCAAGGACAACACTCATACTTGGCAACTGAGGACAACACTCATACTTGGAAACCGAGGACAACACTCACACTTGGAAAGCGAGGACAACACTCATACTTGGAAAGCGAGGACAACACTCATACTTGGAAAGCGAGGACAACACTCATACTTGGCAACTGAGGACAACACTCATACTTGGAAACCGAGGACAACACTCATACTTGGAAAGTGAGGACAACACTCATACTTGGAAAGTGAGGACAACACTCATACTGGGAAACCGAGGACAACACTCATACTTGGCAACTGAGGACAACACTCATACTTGGAAACCGAGGACAACACTCATACTTGGCAACTGAGGACAATACTCATACTTGGAAAGCGAGGACAACACTCATACTTGGAAAGCGAGGACAACACTCATACTTGGAAATCAAGGACAACACTCATACTTGGAAATCAAGGACAACACTCATACTTGGCAACTGAGGACAACACTCATACTTGGAAACCGAGGACAACACTCATACTTGGAAACCGAGGACAACACTCATACTTGGCAACCGAGGACAACACTCATACTTGGAAACCGAGGACAACACTCATACTTGGAAAGCGAGGACAACACTCATACTTGGAAAGCGAGGACAACACTCATACTTGGAAAGTGAGGACAACACTCATACTTGGAAAGTGAGGACAACACTCATACTTGGAAAGCGAGGACAACACTCATACTTGGAAATCAAGGACAACACTCATACTTGGCAACTGAGGACAACACTCATACTTGGAAACCGAGGACAACACTCATACGTGTCAACCCAGGAGGCCCAGGAGGAACTTGTCGAGGCCATAGAGCTGTGCAGGCCTGTCCATTTCCAGGTTGAGTTCTTTTTTCACTCCATCATGAGACCTGCCAAGCCTTTCTCACATTTATAAGAGGTTAGAAATGGCTGTGAAAAATATATTTTCGTTCAAGAGTTTCATGGTTTTCAAGAGAATGTAAGGCTCTTCCATTCTTCATTGGGAGATACTGACTGATGACTAGAAACATTCCCTTTCACGGATATGCTTAGGCCAGGAGGATTTGAAATGTAAAGATGCTAAAGAAAAAACTCTTTCCTCCAATGCTACATTAAGCATGGAAGCATTTGCCAGAAGGGTAGTTGGAAGAATTAGCTATGCTCAAATCAAGGCTCATGAACTTCCTATTTCAAATGTACAGGCAAAGATTTCAGAACACAACTTTTCACATGACTTCTACACTTTACAGACAGCAAGACAGTAAATTTGAGAAACGGAAGCAATGCAGAGGGTGGTAACCCGCCTGCCATCTCCCGCCCCTTACAACAAATAGCTATTTCTCTCATTTCCAGATGGTTCTACCATCAGCACGTAAACATAAGGGAAGCAAATTCACCAGAAAGGATGCTAAAAATAAGAAGTCTGGACTTTTCTCAAACGTTTAGTACCTCTTAAAAAAACAATCCTAGTCAAGCACTGAAAATAAAAATAAGAAGTTGTCTCCTCTTGTGCTCTTTTTAGTGTTATTTTTTTTTTTCCCCCGAGACGGGTCTGCTTTCTTGCCCAGGCTGGAGTGCAGTGGCACAGTCTCGGCTCACTGCAGCCTCCACTTCCGGAGCTCAAGTGATCCTCCCATTTCAGCCTCCCAAGTAACTGGAACCACAGGCACACATCACCACACCAGCTCACTTTTTGTATTTTTGGTAGAGACAGGGTTTCACCATGTTGTCCAGGCTGGTCTTGAACTCCAGAGCTCAAGCGATCTGCCTGTCTCAGCCTACCAAAGTGCTGGGACTCCAGGTGTGAGCCACCATGCCCAGCCTTTTTAGTGTTACTTAATAGCACATATTCTGTATTAACCTACACAAAATTATTGCAAATAGAGATTGCGAAATGAACTAAAAGATAAGTAAATCCTCCTGTGTTTGCAGCAACCTTATGTGATAATGAATGTTTGGAGCACTGAAATATATTCATAGAATGTTGGACTTTCTATTTTTCAGGAATGTGATTATAACAGTGATTATTAAGTTCCTTCAAATTTTTAAAACTACCTCTTTAAACAAATGTTGAAAAGCAAAGAGCCCACCAAAAGTACAGGCAGCAAAAGCAAAAAGAAACAAGTGGGACTACATCAACCTAAAAAGCCTGTTGGAGAAATGCAGGTGGAAACCACAATGCAGTGTCACTTCACGTCCTAACGGGGGCATCTTTTCATGTTTATTGGCCATTTATTTATCTTCTTTGGAGAAATGCTTATTCAAATCCTTTGCTGGTTTTTTAATTGAGTTGTTTGGCTTTTTGTTGTTGATTTCTGGGAATTCTTTATATATTCTAGATATTAATCCATTATCAGATAAATGATTTGGAAATATTCTTCCCATTCTGTGCATTGCCATTTTACCCTGCTGATAGTGTTTTTTCATGCACAAGTTTTAAAATTTTTCATAAAGTCCCATTTATCTATGTTTTCCTTTTGTTGCCTAGGACTTTGGTGTCATATCCAAGAAACTGCTGCCAAATACAGTGGTGTGAAGATCTGGTCTTCGTTTTCTTCTAAGAGTTTTAGAATTAGGTTTTACATCTAGGTTACAGATCCATTTTGAGTTATTAACGAATCCCTATGCTGGTTTCTGCCAAATAAAAGTTAGTTCTGTCATGTTCCTGCCATGCACAACCCCTTCCTTTATACCGACTGGAGATAGGCTCCCACACACATCTCCGTGACCGTGTGGCCACTGCCTCCTAAGGGTCTTATCTTTTCTAATCCATATCACGGACTGGAGACTGGCTCTTACACACATCTCCGTGACCGCGTGGTCTCTGCCTGATAAGGGTCTTATCTTTTCTAATTCATACCACGGACTGGAGACTGGCTCCCACACACATCTCCGTGACCGTGTGGCCACTGCCTCCTAAGGGTCTTATCTTTTCTAATCCATATCACGGACTGGAGACTGGCTCCCACACACATCTCGGTGACCGCGTGGCCTCTGCCTGATAAGGGTCTTATCTTTTCTAATTCATACCACGGACTGGAGACTGGCTCTTACACACATCTCGGTGACCGCGTGGCCTCTGCCTGATAAGGGTCTTATCTTTTCTAATTCATACCACGGACTGGAGACTGGCTCCCACACACATCTCCGTGACCGTGTGGCCTCTGCCTGATAAGGGTCTTATCTTTTCTAATCCATACCACGGACTGGAGATCGGCTCCCACACACATCTCCATGACCGCGTGGCCTCTGCCTGATAAGGGTCTTATTTTTTCTAATCCATACTACGGACTGGAGATCGGCTCCCACACACATCTCCGTGACCGTGTGGCCACTGCCTCCTAAGGGTCTTATCTTTTCTAATCCATACCACTGACTGGAGATTGGCTCCCACACACATCTCCGTGACCGCGTGGCCACTGCCTCCTAAGGGTCTTATCTTTTCTAATCCGTATCACGGACTGGAGACTGGCTCCCACACACATCTCCGTGACCGCATGGCCACTGCCTCCTAAGGGTCTTATCTTTTCTAATCCACACCACTGACTGGAGATCGGCTCCCACACACATCTCCGTGACCGCGTGGCCACTGCCTCCTAAGGGTCTTATCTTTTCTAATCCATATCACGGACTGGAGACTGGCTCCCACACACATCTCCGTGACCGCGTGGCCACTGCCTCCTAAGGGTCTTATCTTTTCTAATCCACACCACTGACTGGAGATCGGCTCCCACACACATCTCCGTGACCGCGTGGCCACTGCCTCCTAAGGGTCTTATCTTTTCTAATCCATATCACGGACTGGAGATCGGCTCCCACACACATCTCCGTGACCGCGTGGCCACTGCCTCCTAAGGGTCTTATTTTATCCAGACTCCTGTACCTCTATAATCCACTAGACTTTTACAAAATACAAGTGAGATCATGCCCCCCGCACTTAAAATCTTTCACTGTCCACAAAATAAAAAATAAATTATTTAGCAAGGCATATAAAACCTGACCCGATCTACCTATGCAGCCCTGTCTCCCTCTGCTGCCTCCAAACTCCATGAGACTCCCTCTTCCTTCTTTCCCCCATTACTGTCACGTTGGTAAGATCCCACCCATTCTTTTAAGATTCAGATTAAAACAGAATTTGTCTATGACCCCTGCCCTCAGCCCCTGCTTCAGCCTATCAATTCCTCTTCTGAGATCCTGCTATGCCTTGTACAGCATATACCAGTTTTGTTACATCTGTTATACTGGAATCTTCTATTAATGTCTTTCTTCTCCATACAAAAATGGTGAACTCTTTGAAGGCAGAGAGTGTGTATTTCTTATCTTTGTGCCTTCAGTCCCCAGCACGGGGCCTAGGATGTAGAAAATGCAGAGTAAATATCTATCATGCAAATGAAGAAAAGAACAAATGAATATGAAAGAGATCAACTCTGAATCATCCTGAGAGCAGGGGTAGAAGGGACTGCCTTCCTCCTCCCCCATCCGCTGACAGCAAATCTGCCTGCTCCATCCAGGCTCCTTC
The DNA here is from genome assembly GCF_000001405.40 of Homo sapiens. Lineage (NCBI taxonomy): Eukaryota > Metazoa > Chordata > Mammalia > Primates > Hominidae > Homo > Homo sapiens. The sequence continues at coordinate 207,057 of NW_017363817.1, forward strand.
TTTCTTGCAGCTCATAAAGTCCTGTTCGCCTGCTTTCTTGGCTGCCTCACAGTCCAGTCTGATAAGGTGATCAGCTGGCTCTAGGTGTGAGGGGTAGGAAGGATGAGGGAAAGGGTGGCGATTTCCCTAGCGTTCTGCCAAGCTCGGCAAGATGCACACTGAGCACACGTTGCAACCTCCCATTCCTGCCCCGGAGCGTCAGAAATAATAAAAAGATTTTCATGAAAATCCAAATCCAGACAAGAAAAGTGGTATACTAGAAGCCTGAGGACTTCCTGGTAGGAAGGATGACAGAAAATCACTGCCCAAAAATGCTTCTCGAAAATGAAAGACATGAAGGTGGCGATACCAGGAGCAGGATGGGGCCGCTGTCCGTGTCTGCACCCACACCGTGAATGCGTGAATGCTCACGTCAGGCGGCAGGGGTGGGCCTCTGGGTCTGAGAACTTCAGCAGTAGCCAGAGGGGCGGCCAACACCCAAGAAGACCAGGGAGCCTCCAAGCCTAGGAGATCAGCTGCTGGGACACCCACCTGGCAGGTTTCTCCAGGTCTGGCCCCCCTCACTTTGGAAAAGCTGTCTGTGATACACTTAGCCAAGTAGCAATTCCCATTTCTCGCCCACGAGCAGGTAGCAGTAAAAGAGCATTCTTGATCAGACTAATAGAGAATGTCAAAAATAAAAATAAGGCCGGGCACGGTGGCTCACACCTGTCATCCCAGCACTTTGGGAGACTGAGACAGGTGGATCACTTGAGGTGTCAAGAGTTCGAGACCAGCCTGGCCAACATGGTGAAACCCTGTCTCTACTAAAAATACAAAACTTAGCTGGGCATGGGTGGTGGGCGCCTGTAGTCCCAGCTACTTGGGAGGCTGAGGCAGGAGAATTGCTTAAACCCAGGAGGCGGCGATTGCAGTGAGCTGAGATTGTGCCACTGCACTCCAGCCTGGGCGATGGAGTGAGACTTGGTCTCAAAAAATAAACAAATAAAATAAAAATGAGGTTTCAGCTAAGAATCACTAAACATTTGAGAAATGCTAAAGAGAAAGAATTGCCATGCTGAACAAACTGAAGATCTTACACTGGAGGACAGAGGAATGGAACAGGCACTGAAGATCTTACACTGGAGGACAGAGGAATGGAACAGGCACTGAAGATCTTACACTATAGGACAGAGGAATGGAACAGGCACTGAAGATCTTACACTGGAGGACAGAGGAATGGAACAGGTAATGAAGATCTTACACTGGAGGACAGAGGAATGGTACAGGCACTGAAGATCTTACACTGGAGGACAGAGGAATGGAACAGGCACTAAGATCTTACACTATAGGACAGAGGAATGGAACAGGCACTGAAGATCTTACACTGGAGGACAGAGGAATGGAACAGGCAATGAAGATCTTACACTAGAGGACAGAGGAATGAACAGGCAATGAAAATCTTACACTGGAGGACAGAGGAATGGAACAGGCACTGAAGATCTTACACTGGAGGACAGAGGAATGGAACAGGCACTGAAGATCTTACACTGGAGGACAGAGGAATGGAACAGGCACTGAAGATCTTACACTGGAGGACAGAGGAATGGAACAGGCACCGAAGATCTTACACTGGAGGACAGAGGAATGGAACAGGCACCGAAGATCTTACACTAGAGGACAGAGGAATGGAACAGGCACCGAAGATCTTACACTGGAGGACAGAGGAATGGAACAGGCACCGAAGATCTTACACTGGAGGACAGAGGAATGGAACAGGCACCGAAGATCTTACACTGGAGGACAGAGGAATGGAACAGGCACCGAAGATCTTACACTGGAGGACAGAGGAATGGAACAGGCAATGAAGATCTTACACTGGAGGACAGAGGAATGGAACAGGCACTGAAGATCTTACACTGGAGGACAGAGGAATGGAACAGGCACTGAAGATCTTACACTGGAGGACAGAGGAATGGAACAGGCACTGAAGATCTTACACTGGAGGACAGAGGAATGGAACAGGCACTGAAGATCTTACAGTGGAGGACAGAGGAATGGAACAGGCACTGAAGAGCTTACACTTGAGGACAGAGAAATGGAACAGGCACTGAAGATCTTACACTGGAGGACAGAGGAATGGAACACGCACTGAAGATCTTACACTGGAGGACAGAGGAATGGAACAGGCACTGAAGATTGTACACTGTAGGACAGAGAAATGGAACAGGCAACCCAGTGCTTTAACAAACACATAATTTCTATTCCGTGGGAGAGACATGAGAATATTATGCCCATGAGAAAAGAATCAGCTAGATATGCTGGAAATTAAAAAGCTGGATTTTTAAAATAAAAATTCAACAGCTGGGCCAAATAGCACAATGGATGCAAGTGAAGAATAAATTAAAATAGGAAGACTGGGTTGAGGAATTCTTTCAGAAAGCAGTTCAAAAGGACAAAGAGACAGAAAGCATGAAAGGAAAATTAAGAGACATGGCAGCAGATCTAGAAGATCCAACGTTCACGTAACAAGAATTCCACAAGGAAAGAATGCAGAGACCAAGTTGTAGAGACTACTCAAAGAAAGGAATAAAGGAGAATAATTTCTTAGAGTATGAGAAACTCATGAGTGTTTAGAGGAAGAAGACAACTGGGGCTAGGTACAGTGGCTCACGCTTGTAATCCCAGCACTTTGGGAGGATGAGGCAGGAGGATCACTTGAGCCCAGGAGTTGAAGACCAACCTGGGCAACATAAGAAGATCCCACCTCTACAGAAAAATGTTAAAAATCAGCCAGGCATGGTGGTATTTGCCTGTATTCCTGGCTACTCAGGAGGTGGAGGCAGGAGGATGGTTTGAGCCCAGGAGTTCCAGGTTGCAGTGAGCTATGACCACGCCACTGCACTCCAGCCTGGGCAACACAGCAAGACTCCGTCTCAAAAAAACAAAACAAAACACTAATCTTACTAGCTACAAGGAAAATGAAAATTAAAGGAACCGGATACCGTTTTCAACCATAAGATAGATAAAAATGAAAAACAACAATATCAAGTGTTGCTGAGGGTAAGGGTGCTCTCATACAGTACAGATCGTACTACAAGTATATAAAGCTTTGCTGGAGGGCAAATGGGCAGTAGCTACTAAAATTTTAAATGTATACAAACCTATAACCCAGAATCTGTCCCAGAGAAATACTTGCATATGTGCAAAAGGGGGCATATTTTAAGAATTAGAAACAACGACCTAGTGCTACCAAAATGGTGAAATAATCTGTGGTATGTCACGCTATGGGGTTCTGTGCATCAATTCCAGAGAATGAAGCAGGTTTATACATACTGATGAGAAAAAAAATATCTAAAATACATGTGGTTGAAAACAAAAAGCAGTTTTTAGAATAAAGCGTAAGGCATGAAACCATTTAGTTAAAACAAAACAAAGCAAAAACAAAGCCATTAACTGAAACTATAGATTTATATAAATACACACACAAATCCGGAGAGATAGGATTAAAACTATAGATTTATGTAAATACACACACAAATCCAGAGCGATAGCCACTGAAACTACAGATTTATGTAAATACACACACACAAATCCGGAGCGATAGCCATTAAACTACAGATTTACGTAAATACACACACACAAATCCGCAGTGATAGCCATTAAACTGATAACAATTACCACCTCTGAGGACAACAATGGGATTCTGAAGTCTAGGTAAAGGGAACTTAGGTTTCACCTGTATACATATTTGACCTTTTTAAACAATAGAAGATGTGGAACCAGGTGCAGTGGCTCACGCCTGTAACCCCGATGCACTGGGAGCCCAAGACCAGCCCTGGGCCACAGAGTGAGACCCTGTCTCTACAAAAAAGTAACAAAGTTAGTTGGGTGAGGTGCTGCGTGCTTGTAGTCCCAGCTGCTTGGGAAACTGTGGTGGGAGGATCACTTGAGCCCAGGAGTTCCAAGCTGCAGTGAGCAGTAATTCTGCCACTACACTCCATCCTGGGTGACAGAGTGAGACCCTGTCTCTATTTTTTAAAGTCTATGTGTATTACTTATATAATTACAAATAAGGAAACTTAAGGAAAACAAAGAAGCCTGTAGCATTCGGGCCTTATTAAGAAGGCAGAGTCAGAAACGTAGCTGCTGCTCAGTAACAACGCCTTCATTTCTTCTTTGCTGCAAGGAAGGTTAGAATTTGTCAATTGTGACGGTCTCTGCCTTCTCAGTGTTCTTCCTGCCCCTCCTTCTAACAGAAAAGGTGGTGCATCAACTCCTCCTCGTCCTCCCTTGGAATCCTCATCCTCCTTCGCTCTGAGAAATTACTTTCCTTTCCACTGGATCTGAATCTGGGATTAAAACTCAACAGCAATAAGAAGGAAAGAATAAGGTTGGGGGGAAAGTCATCTTTTTATCGTATCTAAAGTTTTTGTGGTTCACTGTATTTTTTTTTTTTTTTGAGTCTCACCCTGTCGCCCAGGCTAGAGTACAATGGCAGGATCTCAGCTCACTGCAACCTCCACTTCCCAGGTTCAAGTGACTCCTGCCTCAGCTTCCCGAGTAGCTGGGATTACAGGCACCTGCCACCATGTCCAGATAATTTTTGTATTTTTAGTAGAGACGGGGTTTCGCCATGTTGGCCAGGCTGGCCTCGAACTCCTGACCTCGGGTGATCCACCCGCCTCGGCCTCCCAAAGTGCTGGGATTACAGGTGTGAGCCACCATACCCGGCCGTGGCTCACTGTATTTTCTAAAGACCGCCACAGCAATCTATCCCATCCCACATGCTTTTTGTAACAATGTGACTTTGACATTCCTCCCGTTAGTGGGTGGGAGAAGACTATGTTCCTTCCTCTTGAATCTTAGCAGCCTTGTGACTATGGCAGAAGTGATGCTATGAAATTTCCAAGGCTTGGTTCTCTTGGGACGCTCATTCTTGGAACCAGCCACCTTACCGTGAGGAAGTCCAAGCAGCCCGTGGAAGACAACAAAGAATCCCAGCAACGGCCTGGCCAAGCTCCCAGCTGACAGCAAGCACCAAGGAGCCAGCCATGAGAGTGAGCCAATGCATTCTCCAGTCCCCTCCTGAGCTGCCTCGGCTAATGCTGCACGGAGCAGGGATGAGCTGGTCCCCGAGCCAGGCCAAATTATACGTGCAAAACAATTATTGTTTTAAGCTACTAAGTTTTGTGCTGGTTTGTTACAAAGAAATAGATACCTAGAACAGTTTCTCTCACAAATGGGGACAACTGAGAGTTGTCCATATATACAACTGTAACTATCTACCACAGGCAGCTTTGGAAGACATGGGAAGGGGTAAAGTGGGGGAACGTCTGCACCAGACAGTTAGATCAGGTAGCATCTGATATTCCTTCACACACTAAGACTCTGCAGTGAACACGCTGAGCTAAGTGCTTAAGCACTTCCTAGCACCAGGTCCTTTTCTGAAAGCAAGATCACTTCTTCCGGTGACAGTTTACCTTTTGGAAAGTTTAGCTGCCGGATCTGCGGAATCCCCATATACTTTCCCTCCAGTGACAGTTTACCTTTCGGAAAGCTGCCGGATCTGTGGAATCCCCATATACTTTCCCTCCGGTGACAGTTTACCTTTTGGAAAGCTGCCGGATCTGCGGAATCCCCATATACTTTCCCTCTGGTGACAGTTTACCTTTCGGAAAGCTGCCGGATCTGCGGAATCCCCATATACTTTCCCTCTGGTGACAGTTTACCTTTCGGAAAGCTGCCGGATCTGCGGAATCCCCATATACTTGTGGAAGTGCTCCAGGACATTCATCACACCCTGAAGGAGATTAGCAACTTCTCCGTATTGTCTTCGCCTGGTCATGGCTCTGCAAGGAAAGAATAAGTTTAAAAGTCTAGAAAAACACTAAAGACGCAAGATACAGACACAGAACAACCCACGCTAGCTCTCAAACAGATATCAACTCAGCTGAATCAACGTTCGCTGAGCACTGAGTATATAAGCTGCTGTGCGTTGTGGGAGGAAAAAACAGGATCTGGTCCAAATCCTCAAGGTGACACCATATAGTAAGGGAGAGAGTCAAGTACACATCTAACTAGTATCAAAAAGGATGAACTATGTTCTAAACAGAAGTACAAATTATGTGCTACGGCAGGAAGAATGTGTGAGTGATGAATTCTCATTTGGTGTGGGGAGGGGAATCTGGGAAGACGATGAATTTAGAATTTGGGTTGGATATTATGGGATTAGCAAGCTTGGGACAGAGAACCGGGGTAGGGATGTTACTATCTGAGGATTACAGCCTATGAGCAAACCAAACACAAAGGGTGCGGCCAGGCGCGGTGGCTCAGCCTGTCATCCCCGCGCTGTGGGAGGCCGAGGTGGCTCACGCCTGTCATACCCACACTGTGGGAGGCCGAGGCGGGCAGATCACGAAGTCACGAGATCGAGATCATCCTGGCCAACACGGTGAAACACCGTCTCTACTAAAAATACACAAAATTAGCTGGGCGTGGTGGTGGATGCCTGTAATCCCAGCTACTCGGGAGGCTGAGGCAAGAGACTCACTTGAACCTGGGAGGCGGAGGTTTCAGTGACCCGAGATCGTGCCACTGCACTCCAGCCAGGGTGACAGTGGGAGACTCCGTCTCAAAAACAAAAACAAAAATACACAAAGAGCAGCACTTTACCTATTAACTGAAATCTGTAGGTTCTAAGGCGTCTGTATCACAGACCTCTACTTTCCCTACTGCTAAGGTTAATGACGCTTAAATAAAAGGATGCTGATAAAATCAAGTTACACACAGGGAGGAAATATAAACTATTAGATCTAAATTTTTCATTAGGGTTGGGTTATTTCATTAAATTTGTAATTTATGATTTTCCATAAGAAGCATTGAAAAAGACAGGATTGGCCGGGCGCGGTGGCTCAAGCCTGTAATCCCAGCACTTTGGGAGGCCGAGGCGGGCAGATCACAAGGTCAGGAGATCGAGACCATCCTGGCTAACACGGCGAAACCCCGTCTCTACTAAAAATACAAAAATTAACCGGGCTTAGTGGCGGGCGCCTGTAGTCCCAGCTACTCGGGAGGCTGAGGCAGGAGAATGGCGGGAACCCGGGAGGCGGAGCTTGCAGTGAGCCTAGATCGCGCCACTGCACTCCAGCCTGGGCGACAGAGCCAGACTCCAACTCAAAAAAAAAAAAAAAAAAGAAAAAAGAAAAAGACAGGATCAAGTTCAAGCCAAGGTGTTCCGTTGCTACCACCACCTGGTTTTACCACCGCCTGGTCTTACCACCGCCCAGTCTTACCACTGCCTGGTCTGATGGTTTGGTGGACACCGACCACCCCACGAAGGAACAAATGTGACCGCCCTCTGGCCTCCCTCTGGCCGCTGCTCTCACTGCTCACAGGAGAGTGGACCAGGCATCCCTGGAGCTCATCCAATACCTAGAGAGGTCAGGAAGGGGCCCGCCCCTCCTCCTCTTTCCCTCAAGGCACTCTCCCACTTCCCCCACCCAGGACTTTGAATGCTGCATCTCAGTTTCTATGACGATGCGCTTTCCCTGTCCACATACGGAATCACACTGAGGCTGGAGCAGGGGGAGTCCCCAGCCTGAGACGGGCCACAGAGGTGAGCTGGAGTGTCAGAATCTTGCTAGTAAAGGAGGCTTTAGATTGCTCCTTTGTAGTAAATCACCAGCTCTTCCTTCTCTATTTCTAATGTTCTGATGTATCATTCCCTCTACAAGCCAAACGGAAATCTACTTTATAAAAAAAAGTGGTTTGAATGATTGAGTTCTGTCTCATAGGGTCTCTTCCATGACAGTGCAACTCAGCCCAACGCAAGCAGGAAACCTGCTGAGGCAGAAGCAGCAGGGAGTGAATATGGGCCTGTGTCACTCTGTCTGCCTGGAGTGAATATGGGCCCGCGTCACTCTGTCTGCCTGGAGTGCATATGGGCCTGTGTCACTCTGTCTGCCTGGAGTGAATATGGCCCTGTGTCACTCTGTCTGCCTTGATGGTACAGAGCCACAGCCTGAAGATGGGCCATATTCTTGGAGTCGTCCTGAAAGGCTTCTGGGGTCCCCTTTTGACTAGCTGCCAGTGTTTGTTAGGTTCTGAACACCAGAGGGCACAAAGCAAAAATGGTGACTGAACACTTGAAGCCAATTTGCAGAAAGTGGGGCAGGATGGTGAGACTTTCCTGGCTGAGAAGTAAATAGGCGACAACACCATTTTCTCTATGCGATACATTTCCCGTGGCCCCAAAAGAGAAAGTTGGCATTGCTTACTCGAGGGAGTCGACACCTCCTGCCAGCATGTGCAGGTGGTTCAGTGTGGTGATTGAGGTGGTCAGGTGGCGTTTGGCGTGATCTAATTGCTTAATATCACGGGTGATTTCTTTCACCTAAACATTGAAAAACCACAAGAAAGAAAGGAAGACGGTCAAGAAAGATGTAAAACACTTCTGCAAGTAGCTCTGTAAGAAACGAATGCAGATGAAGCAGGGAAAAATCTCAGGTTAGCAAACATTCTCACAATACAAAATAAAAATAATTTCCAACCAGGCATTTAAAATTTAATGTGGCATCTCTTTGGACTTTACTCAGGGTTATAAAACCTTCAGTTGTGAGCATGAAATGAACTTTATTTTTTTACCCCAAATGAAATGATCCAAACAGCAATTCAGTATTGAGCACACAGGACAGAGGAGGTAAGCACAGCACCTTTCCTTGAACAAGGTGAGGAAAGTGTGCCTTCTGGTGATGAAGCCGCTGGGCCATATAAAACACCTATCAGTCAGTACTAGGTACTCAGACGGTCTTTACTAATGGAATGAGGGCCTGAGCTTCCAGCAAAGAAGACTTTCAAATCTCAAGAAGATTGAAATATAAGCTCTGTAACATACGCTTAACATGTAAGTTACTAGGAGGGCAGGAGCAGTCTTCAGGGAGTGAGAAGGCAATTTGGGGAGTAAGAGCCTGACAGTGTTGTTTCAGCAGGTCCAAGAGAAGAGAAGCTGTCTCTGGGAATGCAAGTATATTTCAGTCACCAGAAAAGCATATTCAATAGAGAAGTTGGAAAAATTCCCCAACTTTACTAACACCCAGGTGAAATCATCCACTGTGTTTCTTGGTCCATGCTGACTAAGAAATGTGTGTGTGTGTGTGTGTGTGTGTGTGTGTTTTATCATGCCACATTATTTTTAATTACGTACAAAGATCTAACATGTCACCCACGGACCATTTCACCCGCTGCTCTGTTTGGCCGCCAGTCTCTTGTCTCTCTCTTCAGCAATGGTGAGGCGGATACCCTTTCCTCGGGGAAGAGAAATCCATCGTTTGTTGCCCTTGCCAATAGTGAAAATGTTGGAAACTTGAGTGCCAAAGCTGTTGCCACTGGTGTCTTTCACATGAACCACGTCAGAAGATCCCGGGTACCTCTCTCTGTTGGGGATCACACCAACTCTTCCCAGGTGAGCACCTCCAGTCACCATATATGGCTTGCCAGTGTCGAACGTGATGAAATCGGTCATCTTGCCAGTCTCCAAATCAATCTGAATGGTGTCATTCACCTTGATGAGGGGTCAGGGTAGCGGATGGTGCGAGCATCATGAGTCACCAGATGAGGGATTCCTTTTGTGCCCACAAAGATTTTTCTCACTTTGCACAACTTGTACTTGGTCTCCTCAGGTGTACAGCAAAGCAACCTTTGGTGTCACGGATCAGATGGAAATTCTCTCCTGTCTTGTCAATGCTGATGACATCCATGAACCCAGCAGGGTATGTTATATCAGTTCGGACCGTGCCATCGATCTTAATGAACCGCTGCATGCAAATCTTCTTAAGTCTGTTCCTTAGGAAAATGATGAGGGGAAGACACTCTCTCAACTTGTGGGGACTGGTGGACGGACGAGGAGCAAACACACCGGTCAATTTATCCAGCATCCAATGCTTTGGAGCTGCTACCCGCTTCAGATGCTTCTTGGCACCACGAGCCATGGCTGCATTAGGCAAGGAAAAGAGGACCTTTGTCTTCCGGTGCACATAGCGAAAGTTTCTTAATAGCAATTTGGTTGCCCAGGTTCTGTGATACCTGGAAGGAAGGGAGTGCCCTGGATACCAAACACAAATACTGTAGTCACTGGATAGATACATCCCATTAAAGTGAGTAACTTGGCCATGAGTTCATGGATAGATACGTCCTCATTAAAGTGAGAAACTTGGCCGTGAGTTTGTGGATAGATACATCCTCATTAAAGTGAGAAACTCGGCCGTTGAGGTCGTGGATAGATATATCCTCATTAAAGTGAGAAACTCGGCAGGGAGTTCGTGGATAGATACATCCCACTAAAGTGAGAAACTCGGCCGTGAGTTCTTGGATAGATACATCGCACTAAAGTGAGAAACTCGGCAGGGAGTTCGTGGATAGATACATCCCACTAAAGTGAGATACTCGGCCGTGAGTTCGTGGATAGATACATCCCACTAAAGTGAGAAACTCGGCAGGGAGTTCGTGGATAGATACATCCCACTAAAGTGAGATACTCGGCCGTGAGTTCGTGGATAGATACATCCCACTAAAGTGAGAAACTCGGCAGGGAGTTCGTGGATAGTTACATCCCACTAAAGTGAGAAACTCAGCAGGGAGTTCGTGGATAGATACATCCCATTGAAGTGAGACACTCGGCCGTGAGTTCGTGGATAGATAACATCCCACTAAAGTGAGAAACTCGGCCGTGAGTTCGTGGATAGATACATCCCACTGAAGTGAGACACTCGGCCGTGAGTTCGTGGATAGATACATCCCACTGAAGTGAGAAACTCGGCCGTGAGTTCGTGGATAGATACATCCCACTGAAGTGAGAAACTCGGCCGTGAGTTCGTGGATAGATACATCCCACTGAAGTGAGAAACTTGGCCGTGAGTTCGTGGATAGATACATCCCACTGAAGTGAGAAACTCGGCAGGGAGTTCGTGGATAGATACATCCCACCAAAGTGAGAAACTTGGCCGTGAGTTCTTGGATAGATACATCGCACTAAAGTGAGAAACTCGGCAGGGAGTTCGTGGGTAGATACATCCCACTAAAGTGAGATACTCGGCCGTGAGTTCGTGGATAGATACATCCCACTGAAGTGAGACACTCGGCCGTGAGTTCGTGGATAGATACATCCCACTGAAGTGAGACACTCGGCCGTGAGTTCGTGGATAGATACATCCCACTGAAGTGAGAAACTCGGCCGTGAGTTCGTGGATAGATACATCCCACTGAAGTGAGACACTCGGCCGTGAGTTCGTGTGCCCTGCTCTTTCAGGGTCTGATCACCCTAGGTGAACTCATACAGGTTACGACCTGCACAGCTCAATTCCACACCTATGATCCTGCAAGCCTTACCTGGATCTTAGCTATAAAAAGCCTCTTTCATGGGGACTTCCCCATCAAGCCTTCTCTCCTGTAACCTCCAAACAATCTCTGTTTCCAATGAATTAAAAAAAAAAAAAAAGGTTAAGACCACCACCACTTTACCAAATACTTAAATTTGGGGCAAAAAAAATAAAAATAAATAAATCAGGAGTGGTATAATAAATTAGATATAGAAGGCTGAAGATTGGCCCTGTAACCTGATCACCCACTTGCAACTCTGAAATCAGCATCCTTTTTCCTACAAAAAAATCTCTGTATCTCTTCCAGCGTTTTTAGCTTCAGTCTAACATAGGGAGTCTTTATTTATTTATTTATTTTTTTATTTTTTGAGATAGAGTTTCGCTCTGTCGCCCAGGCTGTACTGCAGTAGTGCGATCTTGGTTCACTGCAGCCTCCACTTCCCAGGCAAGCGATTCTCTGCCTCAGCCTCCAGAGTAGCTGGGATTACAGGTGTGCTCCACGACGCCTGGTTAATTTTTGTATTTTTAGTAGAGACACGGTTTTGCCATGTTGGCCAGGCTGGTCTTGAACTCCTGGCCTCAAGTGATCCCCCCTCCTTGGCCTCCCAAACTGCTGGGATTACAGGCATGAGCCACCGTGCCCGGCTGCATCAGGGGTCTTTAACCACTGTGTTCAAAGTCACATCATCTATGACTCTTCCTGGTCCCTGCATCAAGTCCTAAATATTCTCCCTCTGCTTCATCTCAAGACTCTATCCCTTCTCTCTATGTCCTAAATATTCTCCCTCTGCTTCATCTCAAGACTCTATCCCTTCTCTCTATGTCCTAAATATTCTCCCTCTGCTTCATCTCAAGACTCTATCCCTTCTCTCTACTCCTTGTTCAGGCCCTCACTGCTCTGCACTGGAGCTGACTGGTCTCTTTATTCCCAGGATCTCCCGTCACTCCCCATCCCACAGCCTGTGTTTCTCTAGACAAACTGAACCACTGATTTTTCCCTAAACAAAGCCATCAATGGCAGGGCACACCAGGGGTACTCAGGTCAAACCTACACGAGATCATCTGCGAGACAGAAGGCCCATGGTTGATTCGCCTCAACTGACTTACACGAGACCACCTGTGAGACAGAATGCCCATAGTTGATTTGCCTCAACTGTTGCCCACGGGCTGCGAAAACGGGTAGAGCATGAAATGGGAGGTTGTAGAGTCAGACAGATCTAGGGCTGAACCCCAGCTCTACCACTCACCAACGATGCATCCTAGAACAAGTTTCTCAGCCTCACTGAGTCTCAGTTTTCTCATCTATAAGATGGGTAATCGCAAAGATAATAATGAACATAAATCCTAGTTCATAAGGTTGTGGTGAGGGCTAAATTAGAGTGCTGACACAAAGGAACCAGCACACTGCTGGCACTGAAAGAGCTCAACAAAGATCACTTCTCCCCTCACTCCCACCTCTTCCTCCCTTCAGCACAGCACTGTCCAGGAAAGCAAGCTGCTTTAAAATAAGACATCTCATAACTTGGGAGTAAACTGTCACTGCAAACCCCCTCGGTTGGAAGAGGAAGCATACTCCAGAACACAGATTAGCATCATAAGGATATCAATAAATGCAATCAACTCCAGCAAAAGCAGCATCGGATACTCTCGCTGATCTTCACGCTTTGAGGGCCCCTGGTGCTGCTGGGTGTGGTGCACCCTTGGGGAAGGACGAGGGCCCCTGGGTGCTGCTGGGTGTGGTGCATCCTTGGTGAAGGACGAGGGCCCCTGGGTGCTGCTGGGTGTGGTGCACCCTTGGGGAAGGACCACAGAAAATCCAGGTCCCTAGGACTATGCTCAGTGCTCTTCATACGTTTAATTCTCACAACAACCCTGTGAGGCAAATGCCATTATTCTTATTTTACAGTTGAAGAAGCTGGAATTCTGAGACAACTGACAGACAGGACATTATTGAGTCTGAATCTGAACCCAGGATCCAGCACTTCCCAGCGCCTCCCATGGAGGAGGAGAAGGTGAATGCTGGATTCTCGGTCTTCGGGGCAAGCTTCTGAGCACAACACCGGGGGACACAAATTTGTCAGGGGAGAACTCAACCAAAACCACATACACAGATCATGGGCGGGGACATCCCTCCTCCCTCCATCCCTCCCTCCTCCCGGCTCCAGGACCATTCTCAGCGTGCATCGAGCTACATACCGTACATCTCGATGGAGAAATGCATGATACCAATACCAAGAAATGTTAGAGAAAGGAAAATCCAAAATGACTAGGAAACTATTTTCAGAAAGGAGAAAAAAAAAAGTTGCAGCTGGGCACAGTGGCTCACACCTGTAATCCCAGCACTTTGGGAGGCCGAGGCGGGCGGATCATGAGGTCAAGAGATTGAGACCATCCTGGCCAACATGGTGAAACCCTTTCTCTACTAAAAATACAAAAAATTAGCCGGGCGTGGTGGCAGGCGCCTGTAATCCCAGCTACTTGGGCGGCTGAGGCAGGGGAATCGCTTGAACCTGGGAGGCGGAGGTTGCAGTGAGCCAAGATCGCACCACTGCACTCCAAGGCTGGCGACAGAGCAAGACTCCATCTCAAAAAAAAAAAAAAAAATACCCAAAAAACAAAACAAAACAAAACAAAAAAGTTGCCTATTTAAAACTAGGGCTGCAAACACAGGGCAGCAGAGATGGTGAGCCACCACTGACCAGCAGCTCCCCTTGAATTGATCTGAACGCATTCATAGGGGGCTTGCTTTAGAGATGCAGATGACTCTGGTTGGCAGGAGGTGCCATTATTAGAAAAAGCTCATTATTAGAATGCCTAGATGAGAAGCTCACTTCCTCTTTTGGTGCAAAAAGGTTAGGAAGAAACCAGAACTCACCATTTGCTCTGATTTTTCAGCTTTGTCTTTGATATCTTTGATTTTGCCAAAGAGTTGTTGGATAGCTTTCTGAGCCTCTTCAAGCGCCTAGAGTAAGGGAAATACATGAAAAACAAAAAGTGGCTAGAGACAGCTCCAGTCACTAACTGTAATCAATGCTAGGCACAAAAGAAATTTCCATGAAGCTCTCCTGATTCATTGTACTTATGCCAACAATTTTTCTGGACCAAAATAGTAGAGACCTATAGAGTCCAGTGGCTGCGAACAGGTAAACACTCGGGACTCTTACCAATGTTCCTCACAAAGTTTCAACTTAAAACTAAATGATTCCCCTCTACCTCAGTCATTACTGTACATGTTATTGATAACAGCAAATAGGACAAGTAGATCTCTGTGTGTGGGTGTATGCAAAGACTCACACAGAGGGACAGGGGTAGCTCTAAATTGGGGCAAGGGAAAGCTCTGGACTTGGAAGTTCCAGATTGTGCATTCAAAAAAACCTGAACCGTGAATGGGGACTCCAGAACTGCAACAAATCTTAAAGACTTTCATAGTAAGCCATTTGAAAACCAATGAAATGCACTTAGAAAGGAACACTGGGCCGGACACAGTGGCTCACGCCTGTAATCCCAGCACTTTGGGAGGCCAAGGCGGGCAGATCACGAGGTCAGGAGATCAAGACCATCCTGGCTAACACGGTGAAACCCCATCTCTACTAAAAATACAAAAAACTAGCCAGGCACAGTGGCACGCACCTGTAGTCCCAGCTACTCAGGAAGCTGAGGCAGAAGAATTGCTTGAACCCGGGAGGCAGAGCTTGCAGTGAGCCGAAATTGCGCCACTGCACTCCAGCCTGGGTGACAGAGCGAGACTCCAAAAGGAAAGAAAAGAAAAGAAAGAGAAAGAATGAAAGAAGAAGGGAGAGAAAGAGAGACAAAGAAAGAGAAAGAAAGAAAGAAAGAAAGAGAAAGAAAGAAAAAAAGAAAGAGAAAGAAAGAAAAAAAGAAAGAAAGAGAAAGAGAAAGAAAGGAAGGAAGGAAGGAAGGAAGGAAGGAAGGAAGGAACGAAGGAAGGAAGGAAGGAAGGCAGGCAGGCAGGCAGGCAGGCAGGCAGGCAGAAAGCTAATGGTGGCTCACACCTGTAATCCCAGCACTTCAGAGGCTGAGGCAGGAGGATTGCTTGAGCCCAGGAGTTCAAGACTAGCCTGGGGAACATGGCAAGACTCGGTCTCTGCAAAAAAAAAAGTTAGCCAGGCATGGTGGCGCACACCAGTAGTCTCAGCTACTTGGGAGGCTGAGGTGGGAAGATTACTTGAGCCTGGGAGGTCAAGGCTGCAGTGAACTGTGATCATGCCACTGCACTCCAGCCTGGTGACTGAGCGAGATCTTGTCTCAAAAAAACAAGCAAAAAGCTAATGGTGAGCCCAGCATTTCCACTGAAATAAAAACCTACAAGGACAGATGCTACACAATGAAAGTATTACAACACAGCTGCAGCTTCTGCTAGGAGGGGAAGCAACATGAGGGCAGTTGTGACATGTGGAGACCAGAAAGTTCCTGTGAGTGCCAGCAGGCCACAGACGTGTACAGACCAAATGCACTGGACCGTCCGTGAGTAAAGACTACCCACAGCTAAAGTACCTGTGAGTGCCAGCAGCCCACAGACGTGTATCGACCACATGCACTGGACCATCCGTGAGTAAAGACTACCTACAGCTAAAGTACCTGTGAGTGCCAGCAGCCCACAGACGTGTATAGACCACAGGCACTGGACCGTCCGTGAGTAAAGACTACCTACAGCTAAAGTGTCTGTGAGCGTGTCAGCAGGCCACGGATGTGTATAGACCACATGCACTGGACTGTCCGTGACTAAAGACTATGAATTCCTGAGGCAGTTATAGTTCTAGGCACGAGTCAGCATCTCCTTAATTCACTCCTTCAATCACTCAATGAGTATTTACTGAATGCCTCCCATATACCAGGCATGATTCTAGGCATTGGGAATCCAATGGTAAACAAGACAGTATGGTCTCTCTCTCTGTCCTCAAGGAATGAACTTACTTTGAGAAGTAAGGGGGAGGAGATCCTGGAAAAACAACAAAATAAAGAAACAAGATAATTCCTAAGTGTGGTGAATTGACAGGTGTGGTGAAGGACTTATGCAGTGATGAGAATAAGGGAGATGGTGGTCACAGAAGGTCTCCTGAGAAAGGGCACACAAATCGGGACCTGCAGGATGAGGAGGTGTGAGAATTTGTAGATTTGGAGTAAGATGATTTTTTTTTTCTTGAGATGGAGTCTCACTCTGTTGCCCAGGCTAGAGTTAAGTGGCGTGATCTCAGCTCACTGCAACCTCTGCCTCCCAGGTTCAAGCAATTCTCCTGCCTCAGCCTCCCGAGTAGCTGGGACTACAGGCACCTGCCACCACACCTGGCTAATTTTTTGTATTTTTAGTAGAGACGGGGTTTCACCGTGTTGGCCAGGATGGTCTCGATCTCCTGACCTCGTGATCTGCCCGCCTCGGCCTCCCAAAGTGCTGGGATTACAGACGTGAGCCGCCGCGCCCAGCCTGGAGTAAGAGGATTTTCAGCAGAGAGAAAAGCAAATGTGAAGATCCTGACAGAGAAAAGACCTCGGTGTTTTGGAGGTCCGAAAAGACAGACAGTAGGTGGTAGTGCAATATTGCAGCGGGAAGTGTCTGGAAATAATCTGGAGAGGTGGGCACGAGCCAGAGCACGGAGGCCTCAAAGCATAAGGATTCTGCTCTAAGTGCCAATGAGAAGCCACTGAAGGGTCTAAACAAGGGACAGATGTATGGCTTACTTGTATAAGACTGTCCTGGCTGCTGTGTGGCAAAGGGGCTGTGCAGGGGCAGGAGGGAAAGCGGGAGTGAAAGCTCTGTGAGAAGTTGCTGCAGTGTCCACGAGACGGTGGAGGCCTAGAAGAGGCAGCCGGTGCTGACGGGAAGACGCCGAGCGATTCAGGGTTTCCAGGAAGGTACAATGTGTAGGACTCACTGATGGACTGTGTGTGGGTGATGAGGGAGAGGGAGAACCAAGGATGACGCCCGGGTTTTGGTTGAAAAGCCAAGGCCAGGGTTCACTGTCTGAACCAGGGAATGCAGGAGGAGGACGGGCTTGACAGGCAGGTGTGTGTGGTGGTGGCGGGGCTGGAAGTGAAGAGTCCCATCTGCAATACGTTACGGGTGCCTGTGCTATGGCTGGAATGCATCCCCAAAGTTCATGTGTTGGAAACATAATCCCCAATGCAATGGTGTTGGCAGGTGGGGCCTTTACGAGGTGACCAGGTCATGAGGGGTTTGCCCTCACGAACAAATGAATGGCATTATCTCGGGAGTGGGTTCTTGATAAAAGGATCTGTTCAGCCACTTTCTCGTGCATGCACACACTTTCTTGCCTTCCAACTCTGCCATGGGACGACGCAGTGAGAAGGCCCTCGCCGCAGGACGACATGGTGAGAAGGCGCTCGCCGCGGGACGACGCAGTGAGAAAGCCCTCGCCGCGGGAAGATGCGGTAAGAAGCCCTTGCCTGATGTGGGCCCCTTGACCTTGGACTTCCCAGCCTCCAGAATTATAAGAAATCTCTTTTCTTTATAAATGATTCAGTCTGTACTATTCTGTTACAGTAACATAAAACAGACTAAGAAAACTGGTATCAAGAAGTGGGCTACTGCTATAGTAAATACCTGAAAACATGGCTTTGGAGCTGGGTGATGGACAGATGTGGAACAGTCTTGAAGTGAAGGCTGGAAAAAGCCTGTATTGCTGTGAACAGAGTGCTAAGGGGGATTCTGCTAAGGGCTCAGAAGAAAAGCAGAAATGTAGAGAAAGTCTGGAACTTCTTAGAAATTACTTCATGGTTGTGACCGGAGTGTTGGTAGAAATACAGACAGTAAGCTGGGCATGGTGGCTCACGCCTGTCATCCCAGTACTTTGGGAGCCTGAGGCGGGCGGATCGCCTGAGGTCAAGAGTTCAAGACAGCCTGGCCAACATGGTGAAACCCCGTCTCTACTAAAAATACAAAAATTAGATGGGCGTGGTGGCGGGCACCTGTCATCCCAGCTACTCGGGAGGCTGAGGCAGGAGAATCACTTAAACCCAGGAGGCGGAGGTTGCAGTGAGCTGAGATAGCACCACTGCACTCCAACCTGGGTAATAAGAGCAAAACTCTGTCCCGACCAAAAAAAAAGATAGCTTACTTGAGATCAAGTAGAGACATTAAGTTGGACATAAGATTCTGGAGCTTGGAAGAGAGGTGATAGGTTGGGATTTAAATTCAGAAGTCATTACTTTAGAGATGATATGTAAGTCTGTAAGATTAGAAGTCACCTAGGAAGACAGAATACACAAGAGAAGAAAAGATGGCACAGGGCTGACCCTTGGGCATGCCAATATTCAGAAGTCTAAAATAAAAAAAAGCAGAGATGCAGAGAAAAACCACCAGTGACATGAGAAAAAATCAGGGACGATGGGTGTTACAGAAGCCAAACAGAAGTGTTTGAAGGAGAAGGAAAGAGTGATTGTGCCTTCTGTTGTTAAACACTCATGTAAGAGGCTGGGCGCAGTGGCTCAGGCCTATAATCCCAGCACTTTGGGAGGCCAGGGCGGGTGGATGACCTGAGGTCAGGAGTTCAAGACCAGCCTGACCAATATGATGAAACCCTGTCTCTACTCAAAATACAAAAATTAGCCGGGCGTGGTGGCAGGCGCCTGTAATCCCAGCTACTCAGGAGGCTGAGACAGGATAATCGCGTGAACCCAGGAGGCAGAGGTTGCAGTGAGCCAAGATCGTGCCACTGCACTCCAGCCTGGGCAACAAGAGCAAAACTCCATCTCAAAACAACAACAACAACAAAAAACTCATGTGGATCATGAGGTCAAGAGTTTGTGACCAGCCTGACCAACATGGTGAAACCCCTGTCTCTACTAAAAATACAAAAATTAGCCAGGCATGGTGGTGTGCACCTGTAATCCCAGCTACTCAGGAGGCTGAGGTAGGAGAATTGCTTGAACCCAGGAAACGGAAGCTGCAGTGAGCCAAGATGGTGCCATTGCACTCCAGCCTAGGCGACAGAGCAAGACTCCATCTCAAAAAAAAAAATGAAGACAGCTGCTACTGATTTTGACAACAGGGAAGTTGTTGGTGACCTTGACAAGAGCAGTCTCAATGCAGTCAAGGGAATGGACAGCGATGACATGAAGTAGAGGCTGTGATCACAGAGCAGGCCACAAATGATGGCCTGTGGGCTGAAGCCAGTCTGCCACGTCTGCCACCTGTTTTTGTAAACAATGTGTTTTTGGACCGAAACTCATTAATAATACTTAAACCAAACTCATTTGTTTAAGTATTGTTTATGGGGACTTTTGCCACACAATGGCAGAGATAAATAGTTACAACAGAGACCATATGGTCAGTAAAGGCTAAAATATTTACTATCCAGCCCTTAACAGAAAGCTTGCTGACCCTGGTATAGACTTTTTTTTTCAAGAAGTTTTTGCTATGAGAAAGGAAGAAAAATAGGGCAAAAGATGGCGTAAAGGGAGTAATTTTTAAAGATGAGAAATGCTTGCATACGTCTGCTTGGGAGTGATTTAGCAGGAGAGAAATTTATTTGGGGGGGCAATGGGTTAATTACAGAAGAGGACTGTTTTAAACATAATGTTCTGGGGGGGGCAATGGGTTAATTACAGAAGAGGACTGTTTTAAACATAATGTTCTGGGGGGGGCAATGGGTTAATTACAGAAGAGGACTGTTTTAAACATAATGTTCTGCGGAGGGGGCAATGGGTTAATTACAGAAGAGGACTGTTTTAAACATAATGTTCTGGGGGGGGGGGCAATGGGTTAATTACAGAAGAGGACTTTTTTAAACATAATGTTCTTGAATTGTTTAGTGCAGGGGACCCCAAGCCCTGGGCCGTGGGCCAGCACCAGTCCGTGGCCTGTTGGGAACTGGGCCGCACAGCAGGAGGTGAGCGGTGGGCAAGTGAGTGAGCATGATCTTCTGAGCTCCCCCTCCTCAGATCAGCAGCGGTATTAGATTCTCATAGGAGCGCGAACCCTACTGTGAACTGCACACGCGAGGGATCTAGGTTGCAAGCTCCTTAACAGAATCTAACTAAGGCCTGATTATCTGAGGTGGAACAGTTTCATCCTGAAACCATGTCCCCCTCCCTGGTCCATGGAAAAACTGTCTTCCAAAAAACTGCTCGCTGGTGCCAAAAAGGTTGGGGACCACTGGTTTAGTGTATGAGTATTAGCCCTTTAGCAGGGTTATAAGTATCCTTTAGAATGGGGACCAAGGATATGAACAGCACTCCTATAGAGCCCATAGCTGAGCCAATCATCCATTTGGTTTACCGGGGACACGCTGCGTTTATGATTCAGTATAGTTATTAACAGCTCCCTCTCCTTCTCAAAGTGACTCTGGTGATAAATCATATGGTCACCTCACCTACAGCACCTAAGCAAGGCTATGGCACAGTGGGACCTTGACAAATATTGCCCACTGATTAAAAGTATCATGGTGCACCTGTAAGAGTGCTGGTGCTGAGGCTACCGCTCTGAATAAGTGCGCTCATAACCATTCCTCTAACTTCAGGCCCAACCATGAGCAGTGGTTCAAAATCACAGCTTCATGCTTTCTGTAAGTATTCTCTATTTGGCTTAAACAGAGTCTAATATCCAAGATGCTACATGGGATCAGTAAATTCTAAAAAAGTTTCAATCGTGGAGTAAAAAGTGCAACAGAGGCCTCTGTAGGCAACTGACCACTAGAAAGGACTGATCTTTTTCGACACAGCTCACATGGAATTCTGTGATACTGCAGGTCATGTCATGTTATGGTGACATGCTAATGGGACCATAGCTACTGTGTTCTAGACAAACACCCTAAAACATATGACATGCAGCTAAGAAAGGCAAAAAAGGGGCTAAGTTATACACTTAGGTCTCACATATGAAGAAGTCTGCATGATCCTATCTCAGAGAAAGGGTTTCTATCCCTTTCTCTCTTACATTAAACCTGGCATCCTACCAGAACTGTCTCTGCTGAAGGTATCGCTTTTTTCTTCCAGCAAACAAATAAGACTCACACAATCTTACATGTCACAGTCTCCAAGATAGATAAACTATGTGCCAGACTTTTTTCGGGCTGGAATACTTTTGCTTGTTTTAATAAGGTACTGAAGTTGGGGAAATGTACTATAATTCATTTTGCAGAGTTTAAAAACTCCTCTGAAGCACTGGTGCTATCAGGCAAGTCCATTCTCAACACACACCCTAATATTTGACATCTAACCTCTGATCATGAGTCATATAGAAAGATTGTTTTGCAACTGGAAGAATCATGGGTCCTACAAGAAGTTAAGGTTTTTTTAAGAAACACAAAAATACCTTCACTACCTGGCTAATCAGAAATGTGCTGAAAGAATCACTCTGGCACTGTCCCTAGACACTTTTTAAAATAAAAACGTGGTTGGCCGGGGGGGCAGTAGCTCACACCTATAATCCCAGCACGCTGCAAGGCTGACGGTGGATTACTTGAGGCCAGGAGTTCAAGACCAGTCTGACCAACATGACGAAACTCCGTCTCTACTAAAAATACTAAAAAAATTAGCTGTGTGTGCTAGTACATGCCTATAGTTCCAGCTACTCCGGAGGCTGAGGCATGAGAATCACTTGAGCCCAGGAGGCGGAGGCTGCAGTGAGCCAAGATTGCGCCACTGCACTCCAGCCTGGGTGACAGAGACATACTCTGTCTTAAAAAAAAAAAAAAAATTAGGCCAGGTGCGATGGCTCATGCCTGTAATCCCAGCACTTTGGGAGGCTGAGGCAGGTGGATCATGAGGTCAAGAGATCAAGACCATCCTGCCCAACATGGTGAAACCCCATCTCTACTAAAAATACAAAAATTAGCTGGGTGTGGTGGCGCATGCCTGTAATCCCAGCTACTCGGGAGGCTGAGGCAGGAGAATCACTTGAACCAGGGAGTCGGAGGTTGCAGTGAGCTGAGATGGTGCCATCGCACTCCAGCCTGGTGACAGAGCGAGACTCCATCTAAAAAAAAAAAAAGAAGAAAAAAAAGTAATAATAAAAAAATTAAAAGGTGGCTACTTTCCATTCCAAGCTGTATGTGGATTAAAAACAGAACTAATCACTCCCAAAAATGTCTGCATTTAATCTACCCCACTAGAGTTTCTGAACGGAGCACTGGAGCTACAGCTTACGTCTAAAGGTGTTATAAAGCAGTGACTGTTGTGGCCCTTTTTAGGACTCAAATTCTATACACACACAGCCTGCATCCTAAAGTGTTATAAAGCGGCGACTGTGTTTAATCTGCCCCTACTGGAGTTTCTGAACTGGGCACTGGTGAACTGGGCACTGGTGAACTGGGCACTGGTGAACTGGGCACTGGAGCCACAGCCTGTATCTGACGGTGTTATAAAGCGGTGACTGCCGTGCTCCTCTTTTAAGACTCAAATTCTGTAAACAGGAGATGAAAAGCAACCCACTGAATTAGCCTAGAAGGCTCAGCAAAACCAATTCCAGCATCTTTGTATTTCTGTGCATCCTAATGGTAACCACTACTCTGAATTCTCCTTGCCTCCTGGAGGAGACGGTGAGCAGGCTCTCAAAGCCACAGGAGGTCACGTGTGGAAGATAAGGAGTATGGAACCTGGCACAGACTCTCCTGCTTTCTTCTTTCTCTTTTTCCTTTTTTTGCAGAACTGTTGTCTGCCACGTTAGTAGACAGAGGGGCTCTGATTCATTGGCAGTGCCTTAAGAAATGAGCATCCCTCTGGCTCTCAGGTCCATCTAATTTTGCAGTCTGCGCCATCAGAGAATGATGCTGCCTTTATCCTGTGAGTCCGCAGGCAGCCTTTCAGAGATTTTAAACCGAGATCCCCTTTGTGGCCACTGCAGGAAGGAGGAAAGGTTGTTCATTTTCCGAAGAGCTGGTATGGCTTTAGACTATTCTGTGAAAAAATAAGGTGCTATTATTCACGGTTACTGGGGAGAAAATTAGATTTTTCCACTATTTTGCTACCATTTCTGTTTTCCAACTTGACATCTATCTGCTGGTTCCCTTTTCTATTATATGGAAAAGCAACGTGCTGGGCCAGGTGCAGTGGCTCACGCCTGTAATCCCAGCACTTTCGGAGGCCGAGGCAGGCAAATCACCTAAGGTCAGGAGTTAGAGACCAGCCTAGCCAACATGGTGAAACCCCGTCTCTTCTAAAAATACAAAAACTAGCCAGCCATCATGGTACACACCTGTAATCCCAGCTACTGGGGAGGATGAGGCAGGAGAATCGCCTGCACCTAGGAGGTGGAGGTTGCAGTGAGCCAAGATTATGCCACTGCACTCCAGCCTGGGCAACAGAGTGAGACGGAGAAAGAAAAGAAAAGAAAGAAGAAAGGAAAAGGAAAAGGGAAGGGAAGGGACAAAAAGAAGGAAGGAAGGGAGGGAGGAAGGAAAAAGAAAAAAAGAAAAGAGAGACAGGAAAGAAAGAGGAAAGAAAGAAAGAAAAGAAAGAAAAGAGAAAGAGGGAGGGAGGGAGGGAGCAACATGCTGTATGAGTTACAAGCAAGGGATTTTCAACTAGCAGACTGGGATTCAAACCTTGGCTCTGCCAGTTACTGTGTGATTTCTGTCAAGCCTCTTATCCTCTAGGAAGTAGTTTCATAATTTCCAGAATGCAAATTCTATCAGCTACCTGAAAGGTAGTAAGGAATGTGAGAGTAGAAAATATGTTTGGAATCGTTTACCCAACACTCTTCCCCTCCGCATGCGAAATCTTCCTTTCACCGTGTTTCTACAGAGTCTGCTGTCCAAGAGCTGACCAGGCCCTCGTTGGAGCAGTTTTCCCATGACTTTTTTTTTTTTTTTTTGAGACAGAGTCACGCTTCGTCGTGGCATGATCTCAGCTCACTGCAACATCCGCCTCCTGGGTTCAAGTGATTCTCATGCCTCAGCCTCCTGAGTAGCTGGGATTACAGGCACCCGCCACCACACCCAGCTAATTTTTGTATTTTTAGTAGAGACGGGGTTTCACCATGTTGGCCAGGACGGTCTCCATCTCCTGACCTCATGACCCGCTTACCTCGGCCTCCCAACATGCTGGGATTACAGGCGTGAGCCACCAGAATGAGAATTGGGAAAAAGAGTTTGTCTTTCGCGGGTGGTAGGAGTCCCAAGAAGTGAAACTGAGTTAGAGAGCAGCTAGGTTCCCCAGGAAGGGCAGGAGGCTGGACTACAGGTAGAGATGATGAGGGTGACACACACACACACACACACACACACACACACACACACACACAATCTCTCTCTCACACAATCTCAATCTCTCTCTCTCTCTCTCTCTCTCTCTCTCTCTCTCTGAGCTTTACTCCCGTCTTTGGCTTCAGCTGTTTGACAAGCCCAGCTGAGACGCTATCCTTCTGGCGGTCACACTTGTTGAACTTCTTCAAACGAGACACAACAGGATCCTTCCAAATAATCCCCCTTTTGCCTAAGCCCGTTTGAATTGGGATTTTTGTCTTCTGCAACCAAGAGAGTCTTGAATGAGTTTATAAAGCACTCAGCTCACAGAAAGTGCTCACTTAATGGCAACTATTAGTATTCCCACATCTCCTAGATGGAGTAGGATATTTCAGATGAGACTACCCTCTAAGAATCAGAGGTTGTTACTCATCTTTTAGAGCTTTGTAAATAAGATGGCTAAGTTCAGTATCTGCAGGCAGACTCAGAAGAACGGCTCATGGATTAAGAGGATGGAATCTTTGAACCATGCTGAAAATGAGACATTCTCCAGAAAAAAATTGAAGTCTTTTGTTCATTCATTCAATTAAAAAGTGAGTGCCTATTACATGTACTGTGCTAGATACTGAGAGAAAAAGATCACTAGCTAGGGAATGTATCTTTAAAGGGCTTGTAAGGAATACATGTCTGAATTATACACAAAATGATACAAAGAGCGATGAATAAAGAATGGCAGCGGCCGGGCGCAGTGGCTCACGCCTGTAATCCCAGCACTGTGGGAGGCTGAGGAAGGTGGATCACGAGGTCAGGAGATCGAGACCATCCTGGCGAACACGGTGAAACCCCGTCTCTACTAAAAATACAAAAAATTAACCGGGCGTGGTGGCGGGCGCCTGTAGTCCCAGCTACTCGGGAGACTTAGGCAGGAGAATGGCGTGAACCCAGGAGGTGGAGCTTGCAGTGAGCCGAGATTGTGCCACTGCACTCCAGCCTGGGGCACAGAGCAAGATTCCGTCGCAAAAAAAAAACAAAAACAAAAACAAAAAAAAAACAACGGCAGCATCATTTCGAAAGCCAGGAGGTCCTCCAGAGAGCAGAAACATGGATGAGTGCTACCACATCTGATAAGCCCTACACGGAAGCCCTCACCACATCCACTGAGGGTGGACACCAAGGGTCAAGTCGCCTCTCTTTAGAGAAAGTCTCTTCTTTTGTTACTGCTGACCACCCCGGCATCACTGAGAGCTGTTGCTATGGAAACGAGGTATCCCCAGCTGAAACAGAGGTGCTTCAGCCAGCCTCAGCAATGCTAACAATGCAGCCCGCTCTCCACGACGGTGCTCAACAGCAGCAGAGGCTGCGGGACTCTCACACACCCAGCCTCAGCAATGCCAACAACGCAGCCCACTCCCCATGATGGTGCTCAACAGCAGCAGAGGCTGTCGGACTCTCACAGCCACAGATGGCTGCACGTCTACAGCTCTTTGCTTCCCTACGTGTCCGAGAACTCAACCAGGACTGCCCTGGTCAAATGCCAGATGGCGCCCATCAGATGAGAATCACTGATGTTTACACAAATTCCTCCACACCACTTAGGAACCTGGAGTATAAGAAGGCTTTATTTAAAGCACAGATTTCTTTCCAAGTTTGTGAACCAAAAACCAAAGGACTGTAAAGAGCAAACGGAGTAATTCTCACCTTGTTTGTTAAAATGTTCTGTTCCATGTAAGTTACTTTTATTTATGATTTCTGCAAACCAAAGCCACTGAAAATGTGAACCAAAGAGCTCATTTTTGTTGTTTTCAGGAGACAAGCCAGAAATTAAAATCACAAGACGAGGCTCGGAAACAAATTCAGCAGTGCCCAAATAAGACTAAACATTTACATTGCAAAGTTCTGCCTATATCTGTTATCACCCCTAACTTAAAACAAGCTAGCCCTGAAATAGCTGCGAGTGACGGATGCGTTCATGCAGCTTCCTTTGACGAAAGGTAACCCCGGAGGATGAGAGCATTTCAAGCAACACCTCCAAGTGGCAAAAGACAAGGAAACGTTTAAGCAAAAGTTTCTGCTGCTTTTGCTGAATGAAAGGTAAAGAAATTCAATATTTTTGGAAATGGGGCACATTAAAAGGAACAACTTGTCCAAGTTTAACAAAGGACTACTTTTCCCAAATAGCCAGGACTTCCAGTTGCCAAGTTCGAGGTTATTGACTTCATTCTAATTCCCCATATCTTACTATTACTTCTCATTTTAGTCACTTCATAACTCTCATCTATATCGTAAGTCTTCATTCAGGAGAAAACATCCTTTTGCGTGACATCTGGATGTTCCCTCAGCTGACTTTTTGAGACACCTTCTGTGCCAAATGCCCTTCAGGCTGCGAGGATTCATCTGTGTGATTTTTTTCTCTTCCTGGTTCGCTTACTCTCTTTAGGGCCTCACTGGTGTCTGTATTTTCGGCAGCACAGGTGTGCAGAACACAGAGAGTTCTCTTCAACCTGGGGTTCTTCTCTCAGTCCAGTTTCTTCGTCATACTGAGGGGGACCAAGCTGGCTAATGAGGCCATGGTCACTGCCATTATTTGAAATTCCTTATGAATCAGCCTTCCAGGCTCCACAGCAAAACAGGTGGCTCCCAAATCTGCTTTTAAATGTTTGTCACTGTTTAAAGATAATTTAGTATGGACAAGTATGCAGCATACTGCGAATGAGAAAATCTGGGTCTGTGATTAACTCGCTTCGTGTGATTTTGGGCACGTCACAGAACTGATGCGGGCCATCTCTTCATCTGTAAAATGGGGAGAACAGCATCTACGTGGCCTAATTCACACATCTTTGTAAACATGTGAATCGAGTAAATCAAGTAAAGTAATATATGCAACAATATTTTGCAAGGTAAACATTTATAGTGTAATAAAACATTAGCATTACAGATCAAGACAAATGACTCAAAATGTTATGTTCTGCAAAAGCAACTGAAAATGTGTCTTTGCTTACAGTGAATGAATCAAGAACAGATCAGCCTTAAAACAGTACATCCTTAATTACAGAGATCTGGAAAATTCCAGGGCTGACAAACGGTCCTAGAACCTGCCCACAAGACACTAGTTACCAGAAATCTCTAAAGACTAGAATCTCTAAGTCTTCAATGAAAAAAAAGTTTAAATTTCTGACTTATTAGAAGTAGCACTTTGCCTAGCTGATAATTCTACGGTTATCACGGAAGTAGGAGAGGGCTGTCTGTCGCGACCGTTCCCTTGTGACTAGGAACAAGAAAAGCTCAAGTACAACAAGGAGACAGGAGTTAAGAATTCGGTCTGAGATGGGGTAAAGACCCCTCAAATACACCTTTTCTCCTGCTTTAAAGACAGAATTTGAATCATCAAACTTACTTGGGGCCAGGTGCAGTGGCTCACGCCTGTAATCACAACACTTTGGGAGGCAGAGGCGGGCGGATCACCTCAGGTTGGGTGTTCGAGACCAGCCTGGCCAACCTGGTGAAAACCCGTCTCTACCGAAAATACAAAAATTAGCCGGGTGTGGTGGCAGGCACCTGTAATCTCAGCTACTCAGGAGGCTGAGGCAGGAGAATCACTTGAACCCAGGAGGCGGAGGTTGCAGTGAGCTGAGATCACACCTCCATCCTGGGCGACAGGGCGAGACTCCCATCTCAAAAAAAAAAAAAAAAAAAAAACTTACTTGGTAGTAAGTATATCTCCAGAAGAAATGCCCCCCTCCAAATTGGGGGTCATTATGAAAGTGGCACTAATACATTTTTGCCTAACATCCATATTCCAGGTATCACATACAATACCTAGAAACGAACACAGCATCTGTTCAGAGTCTACGATGCAATACAGAAACAGAAATTAGAAACCCCGGCATGGGATCCAATAATATACGGAGGACGACAAGTTTCTGATGTATTTTAGAGCTTTAATCTAGATGACTACAAAACGCCAAGCCAAAACAGATGTATTATCTTTGGTTTTGCAAAACTAATCTCCTTCCAGAGGAGACCCTGGAGTCCAAATTGGAGCAAAGGAAATTTTATAGTTACAGACTCTTGAAAATGGAGACTTACACATGGAAATGGTGACGGCACAACCACAACGCTGAATCTGTGCTCTTCTAAATACTGTTTCCGTGGATGAAAGAGGGAAGAGGAAAAAGGAGGCCAAGTTCTTCCATGAAGACAGAAAGCCAAATTCCCATCCATTGTACAAACATATCTCAGTGACTTCTTGTATCAAGGACCTGAAATCCAGAAGGCTTTGCTCTGTTGGCAGTAATTCCGCAATTTTTCTAATGCACAGCCTCAAACTGAGGATGGAATTTTCCTTACACGATTTCTAACTACTAGCAATCAAAAGCAAGAGTGACCTGGGTACTAGCCAGAGCAGTTACAGTGGTGATGAATGGCATTTTCCTCTTGAGACGCAGAGTCTAGTTTAAACTTGTGACTGCCTCTAACATGGAAATAAGCAGATGGTGAGTTACGCTTGACCTTCTTTCTTGGCTCCTGAAGACTGCCAGTTTATATGGAGATGGCTCAGAAGAACCTGCCAATTTATATGGAGATGGCTCAGAAGAACAATAAACTTCAGTGTTCTTTCTTGGCGCAGTATTTTCCTAAAACTATTTTCAATAATCATGTTGCAGAAAAGCGGGACTTGGCGTTTCTAAGGTCAGGAAGGAAACAGTCCAACTGCTGGACTAGTTAACTAAATAAAAGAAAAAATCAGGGTGGTTTTTTTTTTTTGTGGGAGAGAACATCTCCATGAGTAGGCACTACATACAAAAGCTTAAGATTCTTGCTAATCAGAAACATGTTGTCTATATTAATTAAATGAAGACAAAACAGAACGCTTGTGTTAATGCACCTGAGTCTATGGAAAGAATGAATCTATGAAAGTTCAGAACAATATGGAAAAATGTTTCTAAAGAGATTAAATATTGCAATGATTAAAAATTACCATGTGACCCAGCAATTCCACTCCTAGGTACACAGCATAAGGGACGGAAGCAGAAACTCAAACAGGTATTTGTATGCCAATATTCATAGCATCACTGTTCACAAAAGCCAAATGGTGGAAACAATCCAAGTGTCCATGGACAGATGAATGGATACACACAATGTGGTGGAACTACACCACGGAATATTATTCACCCGTAAAAGAGAAGAAAGTGCTGATACATGCTACAACGTGGATGAATCCTGAAGACCACAGAAGTGAAATACACCAGATACAAAGGGTCAAATATTGTAGAATTCCACTTATATTAATATAAAGTTCCCAGAATAGGCAAATTCATAGAGACAGAAAGTAAAATAGAGGTTACAAGAAGTTGAGGAAAGTGGGCAGGGGAAGGAAGGACTTAATGGTTTTAATGTTTACAGAGTTTCTATTTGGGGTGATGAATAAATTTCAGAAATAGTGGTAGTGGTGGTTGTACATTATGAATGTAATTAATACCACTAATTATACACTTAAAAATGTTAAAATAATAAATTCTATATTATATACATATTTTACAAGGTTTAAAAAATAATGTAATATCAAAAACCACTGAACAGTATACTTTAAATAGATGAATTATATGTGAATTATAGCTCACTAATGCTGTTAAAATATAGCCATATAAAAAATTGAAAAAGGTTATATTTACTAAAATGAAATTTAATAAAATTTTTAAAAGCATCATCAATTACACCAAGCTACTTGCCAAGAAAAAAAACCAGGCCAGGTGTGGTGGCTCACACCTGTAATCCCAACATTTAAAAGGCTGAGGCAGGAGGTCGCTTGAACCCATGAGTTCAAGACCAGTCTGGGCAACACAGCAAAACCCGGATTCCACGAGAAATACAAAAAAAATTAGCCAGGCGTGGTGGCGAGTGCCTGTAGTCCCAGCTACTCAGGAGGCTGAGGTGGGAGGATTACTTGAGCCTGGGAGGTCGAGGCTGCAGTGAGCCATGATTTTATCACTGCACTGAAGCCGAGGTGACACAGCCAGACCCTGTCTCAAGAGAGAAAAAAAGCCAGGCCCGGTGGCTCACGCCTGAAGTCCCAGCACTTTGAGAGGTCAAATGAGGCAGGCGGACTGCCTGAGGTCAGGAGTTTCAGACTAGCCTGGCCAACATAGCAAAACCCTATCTCTACTAAAAATACAAAAAAATTAGCTGGACATGGTGGCGGGCACCTGTAGTCCCAGCTTCTTGGGAGGCTGAGGCAGGAGAATCGCTTGAACCCGGGAGGTGGAGACTGCAGTGAGCCAAGATCAAGCCACTGCACTCCAGACTGGGTGACAGAGTGAGACTCTGTCTCAAAATAACAAAAACAAAAAACCCATAAAAATAAAAACAATAAAAATTCTTTTTTATTTTTTTTGATACAGAGTCTCGCTCTGTCGCCTAGGCTGGAGTGCAGTGGCACGATCTCGGCTCACTACAACCTCTGCCTCCTGGGCTCCAGCGATTCTCCTGTCTCAGCTTCCCGGGTAGCTGGGATTACAGGCATGTGCCACCACTCCTGGCTAAATATATATATATATATATTTTTTTGAGACAGAGTCTCGCTCTGTCGCCCAGGTAGAGTGCAGTGGCATGATCTCGGCTCACTGCAAGCTCCACCCCCCGGGTTCACGCCATTCTCCTGCCTCAGCCTCCCAAGTAGCTGGGACTACAGGCGCCCGCCATCACGCCTGGCTAATTTTTTTGTATTTTTAGTAGAGACGGGGTTTCACCGTGTTAGCCAGGATGGTCTCGATCTCCTGACCTCGTGATCTGCCCGCCTCGGCCTCCCAAAGTGCCGGGATGACAGGCGTGAGCCACCGCGCCCCCGCCATTAAAAATTCATTTTTAACACTCAGGAGATGTGGCCAAAGTGGCATTCAGAGAAAAGCCGTACCTTTAAGCGCTCTTCTTACATAACAAGAAGTAGAAGGAGCATAAAGACAACAGAGATGAAAGCAGTAAAATATAAAGGTACAGAGTAATGAACTGAAACAGGAAAAGAGGAGAACTGACAAATATATCCAAGTGCAAGTCCTCTGAGAAGGCCTAAAGAAATTCTGGCTGTTTTAATCTAGGATTGGGGGTGTGGGAAAGAGAAAACATAAAATTAAGAATGAAAAGAGAGGCCAGATGCGGTGGCTCACACCTGTCATCCCAGCACATTGGGAGGCCGAGGCGCGCAGATCACGAGGTCAGGAGATTGAGACCATCCTGGCCAACACGGTGAAACCCCATCTCTACTAAAAATACAAAAATTAGCCAGGCGTGGTGGCGGCCACCTGTAGTCCCAGCTACTTGGGAGGCTGAGGCGGGAGAATCGCTTGAACCCAGGAGGCGGAGCTTGCAGTGAGCCGAGATTGCGCCACTGCACTCCAGCCTGAGCAACAGAGCAAGACTCCGTCTCAAAAAACCAAAACAAAACAAAAAGAATGGAAAGAGAATATAAACAGAGAATTGGAAAGGATGAATAAACTTAAACATCTGAGTAAAATTATTTTCAAGAACAAGGACTTACTAAAATCAACTCAAGAAGTGGAAGATGTAACTATAACCACAGAAATAACAGAAAAGGCTGCCAAGAAACCAATCTCCCAAAAGGCACTTGACCTTGATAATGGGTCAATTGTTTCAAAGACTTCAGGGACTTCAGGGTATATTATCTATAGTCTGACTCTCTGAAACAGTTTACTATTTAAATGGTCTCTGCGGTTGCAAAAAATGGGAAGCATCCCAGTTTGTTTTATAAAGCTGACAAAGGTCAGGCATGGTGGCTCACACCTGTAATCCCAGCACTTTGGGAGGCCGAGGCAGGTGGATCACCTGAGGTCAGGAGTTCGAGACCAGCCT
The DNA here is from genome assembly GCF_000001405.40 of Homo sapiens. Taxonomy (NCBI): domain Eukaryota; kingdom Metazoa; phylum Chordata; class Mammalia; order Primates; family Hominidae; genus Homo; species Homo sapiens. The sequence continues at coordinate 239,434 of NW_017363817.1, forward strand.
GGCCAACATGGTGAAACCCCGTCTCTACTAAAAATACAAAAATTTAGCTGGGCATGGCTGGGCGCGGTGGCTCACGCCTGTAATCCCAGCACTTTGGGAGGCCGAAGTGGGTGAATCATTTCAGGTCAGGAGTTCAAGACCAATCTGGCCAACATGGTGAAACCCCATCTCTACTACAAATACAAAAATTAGCCGGTCATGGTAGCAGGCGTCTGTTATCCCAGCTACTCGGGAGGCTGAGGCAGGAGAATCGCTTGAACCCAGGAGGCAGAGGTTGCAGTGAGTCAAGATCGCACTACTGCACTCCAGCCTGGGTGACAAAGCGAGATTCCGTCTCAAAATAACAACAACAAAAACTGACATAAACCCGATACAAAATCTAACAATGATAACCAAAAAGAAGAAAATGTCAAACTAATTTCATTTTTTAACATGAATCAAAATCCCAGATAAAAATACTAGGATTCAACAATATATTTAAAAGACAATACACGATGACCCAGCAAGCATTTATGAAAGGTTAAATATTTTAAAAAGAAGGAAAAAAAAACTTAAACAAATCAACAACATGAAAAAACCCCTATGACTATATTCAGTACATGCTGAGAGGGCATATGATAAAATCCAACGTCTATTTTCTGGCAAAAGTGCTTAGTGACCAAGATTGTGAAGATCTCTCCTTAACAGTCAAAAGAATCGGGAAACAAGACAACATTACACTTGGTGTCAGCTCCGGGAGAGAAGTGTCTTTTGCTTTTTTCATTGTGTAATTCTCAATGCTTAAAATAGTGCCAACCACACAGAAGGCACTCACTAAATATGTACTGAGTGAGCAAATGAACAGATACACTATGTAAAGTGCCTGTCATTAAAATCAAGAACAAACTGCCTGCCATTCCCACTCTTAGCTGATCCTAAAGAGCATTTCTAAAACTTTTTGACCTCAGAATCTCTTTATACCCTTGGAAATTTATTGAAAGGGTTTATGTAGGTTATATCTACTGACATATACCAATGTTGGAGATTAAAACTGAGGAGTTTAAATAAAAAATATGTATCTGTTAATCCATTTAAACATGACAATGATAAATATATTACATGTTAGCATAAATTACATGTTTTTTGAAAAATAACTATATTTTCCCCCCAGACAAAACAAAGTTGTTTTTTTGTTTGTTTGTTTTTTGTTTTCTGTTTTGAGAGGGAATATTGCTCTGTTGCCCAGGCTGGAGTGCAGTGGTGCAATTTCGGCTCACCGCAACCTCAGCCTCCTGGGTTCAAGTTATTCTTCTGCCTCAGCCTCCCGAGTAGCTGGGCCTACAGGTGCATGCCACCACACTCAGCTAACTTTTGTATTTTTAGTAGAGACATGGTTTCACCATATTGGTCAGGGTGGTCTCGAACTCCTGACCTCGTGATCTGCCTGCCTCAGCCTCCCCAAGTGCTGGGATTCCAGGCGTGAGCCACTGCGCCCGGCCTACAAAACAAATTTCTTGAGAAGCGTGGCACTGCTGGGGTGTCTCTGCAAAAATCTTTAGTGTCTGCTCTGATAAACACCAGCTGGACTCCCATACACGCTTCCATATTGAATCTGTTGTGATCTGTTGTTCTGGTTGAAAATATGAAGAAAATCTGGCTTCACATAGATATATGTAGTTAGAAAAGGAAGAAATACTTTAATACCCAACTCTTTGTCTATTTAGGCTGCTATTAATATAACCAAATACTTTAAACTGGGTAATTTCTAAACAACAGAAATTGTTAACAGTCCTGGAAGCTGGAAAGTCCAAGATGGAGGCACCAGGAGATCTGGTGCCCAGTGAGGGCCCTTTCCTCACAGACGGCATCTTCTATGTGTCCTCACATGGGGAAAGGGGCAAATGGCCATCCTTCAAAAGTCTTTTATGAGGACACTGATCTCACAGATGAGGGCAGACCCCTTGTGACTCAGTCACCTCCCAAAGGCCCTGCTTTTAAATCCTGTCACAATAGGGATTAAGTTCCAGCATAGGAATCGTGGGAGATACCAACATTCCTGTGCTGTGACATGCTGTTTTGGTTGAAAATATGAAGAAAATCTGGCTTCACATAGATATATGTAATTAGAAAAGGAAGAAATATTTTAATACCCATTTCTTAGTCTATTCAGCTGCAATTCATAGAACAGAACACTTTAAACACAGCAGCCCTTTTCAGGTACTTGGTGATAAGCCTTTTTTAAACTACACTAAAACTCAAAAAGTGGTAGATTCTTGAGGATTAGCTGCAGTGTGGGATTTGAAATTGAATTAATGAACTTGCCATACTATATGCTGCATGAAACCCGCTGATCAGCTGTGCTTCTGCCGAGGATGCAGAAAGCAGAAAGAGTGCTGCTCTTACACTAACAAGGAGGAAAACGGAAACTGAAAACCACAACTTTTCTTGAACCTAGCAGAGAGCTAAAGGTAACCAAGCATCCTGAAATCCAAGAAGGAAGGTGCTCCCCCAGGAAAGACAGGACAGGAGAACCGTCTCCATGTAGAAGGGCATGTAAGGAAGACGGGGGTGCCACACAAGCAGGCGAGAGGGCTGAAGGAAAGTTTTTAACAAGTTACTAAAGGCCAAGTGTGGGCTGGCGCAATGGTAGGGAGGCCTGGAAAGTGTAAGCACAGGTGGGTTTGCACCCACTCTCAGGCTCTTTTCCAAGACCTTCACTGGGTGTTCATGAGGAAAAAATGGGGGCACTCTCTCCTCTTCTACACAAAATGCCTGGCATTCAATAAAAAATTTTAAGACATATATACGCCAAAAAAGAAAAAAAAGAAGAAAGGGAAGAAAGGAAAAGCACCCATTGTTAAGAGACAAAGCAACCAACAGAACCTGTCTCAAAGAGGAGCCATTTGGTATAAATATTAGATAGGCTACAGAGGAGGGGATTTTAAAATAACAATGAATAATATGCTAAAGAATCTGGTAGAAAAGGTGTTTTACCTGCACGAACAGATGAAGAATTGCAGCAGAGAGCAGGAAATTATAAGAGTCAAATGGAAATGCTAGAAAAAAGGACATGGTGTCAGAGCTGAAGAATTCCTTCAACAGCCTCATCACACTCGACACAGCAAAAAAAGGATTGGTGAACTTTAAGGTGGGTCAATAGAAAGTACCCAAACTGAAACACAAAGAGGAAAAAAGAAAAGAAAATCCAACACCTGCAGGACAGTATTAAATGTTCTAAAACACATGTAAGTAGAATTCTAGGAGGAAGAGAGAACACAACAGAAACATTTGAAGAGATAATGGCTGAGAATTTTTTTTTAAGTGAAAGGCATTAAACCACTGATCCAAGAAGTGCTGAGATCCCAAGAGGAATAAGGGTTGACTTCTCAGAAACAATGCAAGCTAGAAGACAAAGACTGACATTTTTAAAGTACTAAAAAAAAATAAAACAACAAAACTGCCAACCTAGAGTCCTAAACCAAGCAAAAATATTTTTAAAAAATAAAAGCAAAATTAAAACTTTTCAAGCAAAGAAAAGCTGAGAGCATTTCTTGCCAGCAGACCGTGTTATAAGAAACACTAAAGGAAGTTCATGAGGCAGAACAAATATGGTACAGAAAAAACTCAGATCTAAGGAGATAAAAATGAGATCTATGTGAGGTGACAAATGCCTTCATTTGCTTCTCTGCAGGCTATTTTACTGTCTTTATGTATCCTATAACATGTTATACACCTTACATATACACAATACAATTTACTTCTTCAAACATAAAATAAAATAGCTGGGTGTGGTGGCACACGCCAATAGCCTCCGGCTACTCAGGAGGCTGAGGCAGGAAGATCACTTGAGCCAAGGAGTTTGAGGCCAGCTCAGGCAACATAGCAAGACCCCATCTCTAAAAATATAAAATAAATGTAGAAACTTGAAAACTGACAAACAATAAAAATATTTTTAAAATTTATTTTTAATTACTCTAATTAGCAAAAATAGCAACAGTGATGGTGTTCATAATACGTAAAAACAAGATGTGGGGCAGAGTGGAATGCAGAGAGGATGTGAGGAAGAGGTCAGAAGCCTGCTATGAAAAGACTCTCACATTACATGTGAAGTGATACAATGTCATCACTGTGACATCAGTGACAATATGACTGTGATAAAGATGCATATTGTGGACCCAGGACAAGGAAGTACAAGAACAAACAGAAAACAAGCAAGATGCTAGATTTAAATCCAACTATATCATGGGAACAAAGCAAACTATTCACTTTCACCAGTTTTATTCCATATCACACTGTAGGTCCTAGCCAGAGTAATAAGGCAAAAAATATTTTATTCATAGGTGAGATGATTATCTACTTTTTAAAAATCCCAAAAGCCTACAAAAAAAAAATTCCTGAAACTAATAAGTGAGTTCAGCAAAGCTGCACAATATAAGGTCAATAAATAAAAATCAATTACATTTCCACAACTAGCAAGAGACAACTGGAAATTTAAATTTTAAGAGATACCATTTATAATCATACCAAAAACCACAAAATATTTAGTATAAATCTAGCAAACTATGAGCAAGATCTATATACTAAAAACTAAAACACACTGTTGAGAGAAACTAAAGACCTAAATATATGAAGAAATATTCCATGTTCATAGATTGGAAGATTTAATATTGTAAAGATGTCAATTCTCCTTCAATTGATCTATAGACTCAACGCAATCCCAATCAAAGTCCCAGAGATTTCCTTTTTTTCTTTTCTTAAATCAACAAGTTGGCCGGGCGCGGTGGCTCACACCTGTAATCCCAGCATTTTGGGAGGCCGAGGCGAGTGAATCACCGAGGTCAGGAGTTCGAGACCAGCCTGGCCAACATAATTAAACCCCGTCCCTACTAAAGAATACAAAAAATTAGCCAGGCATGGTGGCTCACGCCTGTAATCCCAGCGACTCGAGAGATTGAGGCAGGAGAATCACTTGAACCTAGGAGGCGGAGGTTGCCGTGGGCCGAGATCGCGCCACTGCACTCCAGCCTGGGCAACAAGAGCTAGATTCTGTTTCCAAAAAAAGGAAAAAAAAAGACTAATAAAGGAAAACAGATCCCAATACCTGTAAAAGTCCTGATGATCTTGGCGTAAAAACTGCCTTGCTTTAGAGATGCAATGAGAGACAGAGAAAACAAAAAGACAGATGTACTCAACACAAACAGCTGGAGTGGAGAAAGCGGGCAGCTTTGAGTCTGAGAGCCAGGAAGGGAAGACTGCAGTTCCAAGAGCCTGGGTCTGGAAACCGGTGTTGAACAGGCAGCAAAGGCTCCCTGCAGTGACCCAGGTGTCAGTTCCTTCTGTTCATTACAATACGGCATCCAAAAATACTTTTCTTCTAAAATAATATACCAACGGCCCTCAACTTGGGATGGTTCAACACAGAATTTTCTTACTACACGATGGTGCAAAGGTGAGAAACATTCTGTAGAAACCATACTTTGGGTACCCATACAACCACTCTGTTTTTCACTTTCTGTACAGTATTCAACAGATCACATGAGCTATTCAACACTTTAGTATAAAATAGGCTCGGTGTTAGATGATTTGCCTGACTGTAGCCTAATGTAAGTGTTCTGAGCAAATAAATTTAAGGCACGGTAGGCTAAGCTATGATGTTCAGTAAATTACATGTATTAATAAATTTTCAACTTAGGATATTTTCAACTTACGATGGGTTTATCAGAATAAGAACTTATTCTTCATTGCAAGTTAAGAAGCATGTGTATGATTGAGAAAAATCTGGAAACAGGTGTGGTGGCTTGCACCTGTAATTCCAGCCACTCAGGAGGCTGAGGCAGGAAGATCGCTTGAGGTAAGGAGTCCAAGACCAGCCAGAGCAATAAAGGAACACCCCATCACTACAAAAAAAAACTTTTTAAATTAAAAAATTAGCCAGACATGGTGACATGCACTTGTAGTCCTACCTACTTGGAAGTCTGAGGTGGGAGGATCGTTTGAGGCCAGGAGTTTGAGACAGTGAGCTATGCACGCCACACTCCAGCCTGGATGACCCTGGAGCGAGACCCTGTCTCTAAAAAAAAAAACAGAGAGAGAAGAGAATTGGCTGGTTGCAGTGGCTCATGCCTGTAATTCCAGCACTCTGGGAAGCGTAGGTGGGAGGATCACCTGAAGCCAGGAGTTCTAAACCAGCCTGGGCAACACAGTGAGATTCCATCTCTACAAAAAGTGTTTTAAAACAGTCAGGCATAGTGGTGTGCACCTGTAGTCCTAGCTACTTGGGAGGCTGAGGTGGAAGGATCACGTGAGCCCAGGAGTTCAAGGCTAGAGTGAGCTACGATCCTGCCATTACATTCCAGCCTGAATGACAGAGTGAGACCCTGTCTCTAAGAAGAAAAAAAAGAAGAATTTGGAAGTTATAAAAACTAGAAATGAAAAAAAATCTATCTGCAGTCTCAAATTTCAAAAACAATACAAATAATAAATTCTGTTGTCAAGTGGAATGTTTATTTTAACTATAGGGTGATATTGCATGTCACGCCAGGCAAACATCTAATGGAGGTCTTGAAGACAGGACAAGAGAAATGAACCTTTGACCACCACTGTTGCCACAGCAGATATTCTGGACCATAGGTAAGCTGTGCCGCCATTTTTATTCACAGAGAACAGCACGCTGAAGGCAGTAAGGGGCCTGGGATAATTCAGAACAAGTAAACCTGGAGTTGCTTTAAAGCACAGCAGTGGGGCTGGAGAGGAGCTGATGGAGCTGACGGAAAAGCCACAGGAACTCGACAAATACCTGGATGCACGGAACTAGGAAAACTGAAATTCCAGTGGACTGTGTATCAGCAGCACTGGTGTTCCTGCCATTTACTAAACATGAGTGAGCCCAACATTGTGCAAAAAAGGTGTTTTAAAATACATTTATTCTAGGCCAGATGTGGTGGCTCATGCCTGTAATCCCAGCACTTTAGGAGGCTGAGGCAGAAGGATTGCTTGAGGCCAGGAGTTTGAGACTAGCCTGGGCAACATAGCGAGACCTCATCTACACAATACTTAAAAATTACATTAGCTGGGCGCAGTGGCTCACGCCTGTAATCCCAGCACTTTGAGAGGCCAAGGTGGGCAGATCACCTGAGATCAGAAGTTCAAGACCAGCCTGGCCAACATGGTGAAACCCTGTCTCTACCAAAAATATAAAAACTAGCCAGGCGTGGTGGTGGTCGCCTGTAATCTCAGCTACTTGGGAGGCTGAGGCAGGGAGAATCACTTGAACCCAGGAGACGGAGGTTGCAGTGAGCAGAGATCGTAACACGGCACTCCAGCCTGGGTGACACAGCAAGACTCCAGCTCAAAAAAAAAAAGCCAGGTGCGGTGGCTCATACCTGTAATCCCAGCACTTTGGGAGGCTGAGGCACGCAGATCATGAGGTCAGAAGATCGAGACCATCCTGGCCAACATGGGGAAACCCCATCTCCACTAAAATACAGAAAATTAGCCGGGCGTGGTGGCACATGCCTGTAGTCCCAGCTACTCAGGAGGCTGAGGCAGGGGAATTGCTTGAACCCAGGAGGCAGAAGCTGCAGTGAGCCAAGATCGCACCAATGCACTCCAGCCTGGAGAGAGAGCAAGACTCAGTCTCAAAAAAAAAAAAAAAAAGATGCGCATGGTGGCATGTGCCTGTGGTCCCAGCTACTCGGGACGCTGAAGTGAGAGGATCACTTGAGCCCACGAGGTTGAGGGCGCAGCGAGCTGTGATTGCACCACTCCACTCTAGCCTGGGCAACAAAGTAAGACCCTGTCTCAAAAACAAATAAATAAATAAGTGGATAAATAAAATAAAGTATATTAATTCTAATCCCCCCTAACCCTGAGGTACGTATTATTATCTCCATGTCACAGATGGAAAGTTAAATATCTTGTCCAAGGTCACACAGATAACAGCAGAGACAAAATTTAAATTCAAAGCTCAAGTTTTTTTCACTTTACCAAGATGCCATCCAATGTTACATCACTGAAGATATCTAACTACACCAATCCTTAGAGAATTGAAATAAAATGCCCAGTCCTTCACTGTACATAGAGGAGAGAAGATAGCTATTTGGATTCCTTATAGCTTTTCTAAAAATGAGGGATTTTAGAGGATACGTGGCAAAGTGTTCCAAATATGCCGCAGACATGTCTCCCTGCCAAAAAAGCGCTATCAAGGTGATATGATTTGGCTGTGTCCCCACCCAAATCCCTACATGTCATAGGAGGGACCTGGTGGGAAGTCACTGAACCACGGGGTGGTTTCTCCCATTCTATTCACGTGATAGTAAGTTCTCACAAGATCTGATGGTTTTGTAAGAGGCTTCCCCCTTCGCTCAGCTCTCATTCTTCCTCTCTCCTGCCACCTTGTGAAGAAGGATGGGTTTGCTTCCCTTTCCACCATGATTGTAAGTTTCCTGAGGCATCCCCAGCCCTGCAGAAATGTGAGTCAATTAAACCTCTTTCCTTTATAAATTACCCCGTCTAAGGTATTTCTTCATAGCAGTGTGAGAACGGACTAATACACAAGGCTTGTGTGCAATAAACAGGATGAAGAATGGTAGTGAGGCCAAACCCAGTTGCACTACATTGTTAAACAGTTAACGGACATTTTATGAGTCCCCGCCTCAACTACAACCAGTAGCACTCTAGAAGCAGGCAAAATGAACAGTCGCCCGCCCCGCCTCAACTACAACCAGTAGCACTCTAGAAGCAGGCAAAATGAACAGTCACCGGATTCAACTTGACAAAGGCAAGCCAACCTTGACCTCTGCACTAGACGTAAGAAATCCTGGTTGGGAAATGACTGTGAGCCCGAATCAAAACTCTGCCCCTACAAAAGGCTGATCTAACAACCCGACTCCAGGGCTGCCCCACAGATCACGGTGTTCAGGGCACTCCCAGGTCATGTCCAAACCTCAGCAATTCCTGAAGTTTAGTGTTATTTGCAGACATGCTGAAAAGTACAACGCAAAAAATAATAACAGAAAAGAAACAAAAAATGTCCAGCCAATCTTGGCCACTAATGGGAAACTTCGAGGCCATACTCTAAAAGCTCAGTCGCTTTAGCTGTGGTATGTTTTAGTAGGAAGAAGCAAGTAGCAATTGCCATTTTTTTCCAAACTATTTGTGGTCCCTTTAATACTAATACCAATTACTTTCTTCAATTTTTATCAATCAATGGGCTTCATTTTCCTCCCAAGAGAGGATGAGAGAAAGGATCAATTTAAAGTGAGGGAGGATAAGAATATAAAGTCTCCTTCTAGTGAGCTGACAATGACAAATTCAAAATCCCACATAATGAAGATCAATGCCATGCTGGGAAGTCAGTCTTGGAGAGCAGTTATTTTTGTTCTTTTCACTTGAGACAGGGTCCCCAGGCTGCAGTGTAGAGGTGCCATCATAGACTGCTGTAACCTCAAACCCCTGGGCTCACGCAATCCTCCTACCTCAAACTCCTGAGTAGCCAAGACTATAGGTTTGTGCCACCATGCTGGACTAATTTTTTTTTTTTTTTTTTTTTTTTTTTGAGATGGAGTCTCACTCTGTCACCAAGGCTGGAGTGCAGTGGCACCATCTCAGCTCACTGCAACCTCCACTTCCTAGGTTCAAGTGATTCTCCAGCCTCAGCCTCGTGAGTAGCTGGGACTACAGGCACGCACCACTGCATCTGGCTAATTTTTGTATTTTTAGTAAAGCCCAGGTTTCCCCATGTTGGCCAGGCTGGTCTTAAACTCCTGATCTCAGGCGATCCGCCCACCTCCGCCTCCCAAAGTGTTGGGATTACAGGCGTAAGCTACCAAGCCCGGCCTATTTTCGTTCTAATGCTTGAATTGCATAATATGCTAATTTTGAGGAAGAAAAGCAAGGAACACTTTCTCCTTGGAAGGCAATGTACTTTGCTGCTTTAGTTCATAATCTTTATGATATCTCTATGTAAAAGTGAAGAAGGCAAGTATTAACAGCCTCCTTTTTTGGTGAAAATCAAGACATGGGAAGATGAAGAAACAGCCCCGGACGACACACACAGACAGGTAGAAATCCTGTTTTTTGGGTCTGGCACTTTGCGCTGAAGTGAGGAGGAAGAACAGGAAGCCTCTGACGGCACGTCACACGGCTCTGAATCCACTCCATTCTGCCTTTTCATCTACAACTTGAATGAAGACACAGAAGGCATGTCTGGCAAATCTGCTAATGATAAAGTGGGGAGGTCATCAAGGCTCCCAAAGATCTTGATGGGATAAACAATCGAGCAGAACTAGTGGGATGAAACGAAAGCTGAGACACACACGGTCTGACAATTTCAAAGACTCTCTTGCACAAACAGAGGTGGAGAAAGTTTAAATGAAAGTCATATGAAGAAAGACCTGGGACAGTACTGGCCCACAGATGTGTTTTGTTTGCCCTTTGCAGTGTTTGTGAAAAACACTAAGCCAATAGTTAAAAATTGTGAGAGTTACATGAAAATCCGGATTTCCGGCTGCTCTTGAAAAACTGATAGATCTGGCAATTCCAGGTCTGCGTTCAGACGTGACAACAGCTGATTAGAATTCACTTGTGACTATCCCCTTAGGACCTGGTGGATGCATGTGGACACACACCAGCCTGCTTACGCCGCTTAGGTTACTTTCCCAGCTCTGCGGACATCTGTTTGCGACTCTTGACCTGGGGGTTTCAGGTGACTGCCAACTCAGTAGAAGCCAACCATGTAATACGGCTGCCAAAAATCTCAGCAAATCCAAGGTAATGGAAGAATAGTGTCTAAAATAAAAAATCTCAGCAAATCCAAGGTAATGGAAGAACAATGTCTACAATCAAAAATCTCAGCAAATCCAAGGTAATGGAAGAACAGTGTCTAAAATCGGTGGCCCTTAAGTTTTGAAGAGTCACAGACTCCTTAGAAAATCTAGAAAAATCAATAAGTTTTCCTCCCATAAATATGTCTAGACATACAAAAATTTACAGTTAATTTCAGGGACTTGACAGACACTCTGGACCCCCAGTCCCTAAGTTAATGAGCTCGGCCCAGAACAAAGAGGTCAACTGTCTCAGTGTATATGTTGACACAGCATGTCCACTCCTGGGAACCACATTTTAAGAGGGATGCTGACAAACAGCTATCAAGAGCAAGGATGATAAAGGGTCTGGAAATTGCATTATAAAGATGAAGAAACTAAGAATGGTTAGCCTAGAAAAGGGAACACTTAGGAACATAATATCCATTTTCAATTTCAGAAGCTGTAGTAAGGAAAAGGGATTAGGCTTACACCCATCCAGCTGGCAGAACTAAGATCAACAAGAAGTTACAATGAAGTCTATTTCACTGTTTCAGTTCAGTCTAAGAAAGGAGTTTCTCACAACTAAAGCTATAAAACTGAACTAGTCTGTCCTGTGGACCAACAAAGTAGCAAGCTCCCCATCACTGAAAGTAGCCAAGCTTCTGCAAGATAATGAAACGTCAGAGATGTAATACAAAGGACTCCTGAACTGGGTGGAAGATTGTACTACAATTACCTAATCCTTCTTCCAAAGCGAAGGAGTGAGCAATACAGCACCCCCTCCTTATCAGCAGTTCACTTTCTGAGGTTTTAGCCACCTGTAGTTGACTGTGGTCCAAAAATATTACATGGAAAATTCCAGAAACAGACAATTAGTAAATTTTAAATTATGCGCCATTCTGAGTAGTGTGATAAAATCTTGCACCACCCAATTCTGTCCTGACCAGGTCACGAATCATTCCTTCACCCAGTATATCCATGCTGAATACAGCACCTATTAGTCACTTAGCAGCCATCTCGGCTATTACATACAGCTCCAAATCACAAGAGGAGTGATGCTGGCATACTGTCATAATTGTGCTATTTTATTTTTAGTTATTGTGGTGAATCTCTTACTGTGCCTAATTTGCATGCTAAAGTTTATCACAGGTATGTATACATAGGAAAAAATACGGCATATATAGGGTTTGCTACTCTCTGGGTTTCAGGCATCCACTGGGGGTCTTGGAATGTATCCCCCACAGGTAAGTGGGGACGACTTGTAATAATTCTCTTCTCCTCCCAAACCTTACTCTTGTTCTGATCAAAGAAATGGCTACATTGCAGCCAGGCTCCATTGAAGAGACAGAAACTCGGTGGCTGATCCTCTCCTGTGAGTCTGAGAGCTTACTGACGACCGGTCAACGTTGGCCACTCTTGAAACTTCCCACTGCCGGCTTTTTCTTCCTCTAACCCGCCCCTCTATTCACCTCTCTTTCACCTACGTTCAAGCCATCCATTTTAATTCTTGGGAAGCTGCAAAAATTTCATAGCATACCACATCATGTACTTGTTGAATTGACTCATCCACAAAGTTTTAAACGTGGGCATTTAATTAAAGCTTTTGACTGATGATTTCAACAGATAAAAATGGGGAGGATTCCGTGCCATATAAACTTTATAAGAGCATCATCGTCTGGTTAGAAGAGGTCACAGACTAGACCAGTTCAAGCTGGCCCACATAGAAGGTGGTCAAAAAACAAAGACTCTGCAAACGTTTAGCAGAATGTTAACCAAGCGGCTGGTATTTCAGAAACTTCAAGAAGCTCAAGAAATGACCTAATTATGCCTTCAATATTTAAATCATTCCTTACCCCCAAATAATTTTTGAGTCAAAAACATTGCTTTTCAAAAGCAACTTTTCTGCTAAAAATGTCATTTAAGACACCATGAATGTGAAGTCAACACTTTCCCCTTATTTACAGATATAGAAGCACACCTAGCCGGGTGCGGTGGCTCACGCCTGTCATCCCAGCACTTTGGGAGGCCGAGGCGGGCGGACCACAAGGTCAGGAGTTTGAGACCAGCCTGACCAACATGGTGAAACCCTGTCTCTACTAAAAATACAAAAATGAGCTGGGCATGGTGGTGCGCACCTGTAATCCCAGCACTTTGGGAGGCCGAGGCGGGCGGACCATGAAGTCAGGAGTTTGAGACCAGCCTGACCAACATGGTGAAATCCCGTCTCTACTAAAAATACAAAAATTAGCCAGGCGTGGTGGTGCATGCCTGTAATCCCAGCTACTCAGGAGGCTGAGGCAGGAGAGTCGCTTGAACCCAGGAGGCAGAAGTTGCAGTAAGCCGAGATCACACCACTGCACTGCAGCCTGGCTGACAGCGAGACTCTGACTCAAAAACAAAACAAAAAACAAAGAAGCAAGAAGCACATCTAGGCTGGGTATAGCCTAGCAGCCATCTCGGCTATTACATACAGCTCCAAATCACAAGAGGAGTGATGCTGGCATACTGTCATAATTGTGCTATTTTATTTTCAGTTATTGTGGTGAATCTCTTACTGTGCCTAATTTGCATGCTAAAATTTATCACAGGTATGTATACATAGGAAAAAATATGGCATATATAGGGTTTGCTACTCTCTGGGTTTCAGGCATCCACTGGGGGTCTTGGAATGTATCCCCCACAGGTAAGTGGGGACGACTTGTAATAATAAGTGTCTCATGCCTATAATCTCAGCATTTTGGGAGCCCAAGGCAGGAGGATCACTTCAGGCCAGGAGTTCAAGACCAGCCCGGGCAACACAGCAAGAACCCATCTCTACCAAAAATAAAAAATTAAAAATTAAAAATAGCTGTGTGTGGTGGCACATGCCTGTAGTCCTAGCTACTTCGGAGGCTAAGGTGGGAGGATCACTTGGCCCCAGGAGTTCAAGGTTACCGTGAAAAATGATTGCACTCCAGCCTGAGCAACAAGGCAGGACCCTGTCCCTAACATGATAATAATAAATACAAATTTAAAAGCGGCACATCGGTTCTGGTTAAACACAATCAAGATTAAATTTATAAAACGAAAACCTCCTTTTGTCCATATGCCACTCCCTTCTGAGTGTTCTTCAGAAGCTTAGGAAGCGAGTGCTGAAAGCAAACTTCTCTTCTCTTCCAGGGAAGAGGGGAACGTGGGGCCTCTTGACCTACAAAACTCAGTATTTTGGAACATCCGTAATTCCACCAAGTCTGTTGCAGTCAAATAGACTCCTTTTAGCAAACCAGCCAGCCAGGGCTGGAGAGCAAGGCTTTCATACCTAGGAGTTGACAAGGACAGGACCCAAGAGCTCCTTGGAAAAAAAAAAGCTTGTACTTCAGTTTGCATTACAAAGTGCTGGAAAAGACAGATGGGGCCATGACAGGAAAAGCAGTTATTTCTTCTGGGCTTCCTTTCTGTCTGGATTCTAAGGAGACGAATACAAAGTTCCATCACAGATTGAAATGCTATCTAAACATTCTTGAAAATGTGGTCTTGCTCTGTGAAATACGACCTGCTCTGCTGCGGCAACCTGTAACCTATTAATACGGGATGGGGGAGAACGCCGACATTCCTGCAGACTGTCGAATTCTGGGTCTGACTCTGTAATACCGCTAGTTTGCAAGAGTCCAGAACCACAGGTTGAAACGTAAATAACTGAAAGATACACATCTATTATGCACAGCATGACCCAACAAAAAATGCCGATGAATCACTCACTATTTTCACATTCTTGAAATTTTAAACATCTATGACTCCTGCACTGTAAGACTTCTAGTGAGCCATTCCAAATGTAGGCTGAATCACACTGAACAAGCAGTGTTACTATTCCCAGTAGCAGCAAGTTGGGACTCTTAATGCACAAAGCAAGTTCTAAATCACTTTTAAGGAACACCCACTTGCTGATCAAAATGATGTTTTTATGATAAAATGTTTTTGTTTATTTATAATTAATAAACAATCTTAGACAGACAAAATATTCAATACAGTTGCATAAAATGTTGTGGGGGTTTTGCTGTTGCTTTTGGGGATGGGGTCTCGCTCTGTCATCCGGGCTGGAGCGCGGCGGCACCATTACAGCTCACTGAAGCTTGTACTACCACACCCAGCTAATTATTTTACCTTTTCGTAGAGACGTGTATTGCTATGTTGCCGAGGCTGGTCTCAAACTCCTGGCCTCAAGTCATCCTCCCACCTAGGCATCCCAAAGTGTTGAGATTACAGGCATGAGCCATTGTGCCTGGCTCAGTTGAATAAAATGTTATTGCATGTGGCCTATGTGTAGTGAAATAGAAAGATGACAAAGATACAGTTCTTACCTTCCAGGAGCTTACAAACATCAAAGGGATGAGACTTGTTCTCTGGTAAGTCAAGGGAGACCCCAAAAGCCAAATGAAAAGTACAAGAATGGGGCTGTGGGATTTATGGAGAAAGGACATCGAGGGACACTGGAATCCATTTTCTCCTCTGTAAAATGAGGGGAGGGGCCCAGATGAGTTTCAAATCCTTTCCAGTTCAAAATTCTGATTCCTTGGTGTATTCAGATAAGGTCCATGGAAAACATCGTCAAGAAACTAGTATCTGAGCTGGTCCTTGGATGGGTAAGATTGGGAAATGCGGCGGCTTAAAGAAATAGGAGGAAAAGCATTTCAAGCACAAAAGAGTCTGTAAGCACAGGTCCAGAAAGCACAGGCATGCTCGTAGAGCACAAAGTCTTCAGTGTAGACAGAACACAAGAGGAGGCAAAACTGGAATTGGAGACCAGAATTTTGAATGCCAAGCAAAGGAATTTGGATTTCTTTTTTTTTTTAAACAGGGTCTCACTCTGTTTCCCAGGCTGGAGTGCAGTGGCGCGATGATGGCTTACTGCAGCCTCGAACTTCCTGGCTCAGCTGATCTTCCTGTCTCGGCCTCCTCAGTAGCTGGGACTACAGGCACAGGCCACCACCATGCCCAGCTAATTTTGTACTTTTTGAAGATGCAGGGTTTTGTCATGTTGCCCAGGCTGGCCTTGAACTCCTAGGCTCAAGTGATCTCCCCGCCTCGGCCTCCCAAAGTGTTGGGATTGCAGGTGTGGGCCACCATGCCTGGCCTTGGATTTCATTTAGTGGCCAGAGCTGATACGGTGTCTGAAGAGGTAGACAATACGATCAAACACAGATTAGGACAGCTAAGCAGCAGAATGCAGCTGGAGTGCTTGAGGCTGCCCTGTCCCTCTGTAGGACCCCTCTGAAGGTCCCATTTACATGGGCCTCATCTGCCAAAGAAGCCATGCTTCATGAAATATACCTCAACAGACAAAACGAGGTAACGAGGGCTAAAAAAAATACAGGAGTCCAGAAAACCAGAACAGTTTTAGGAACCTAATGTGTCTACACACAAATTCTGATGATGACAAGAAGGCCAGCTACTCACAAACAGGCCAAAGGAAACTGGCTATCAAATGGAAAGTGACTATAAAGTGGAAAAATGGAAAAAGAAAGTGATATAAAGTAGTAAAAATAGACAGATGGGAAAACTACAGATGTAAAAGAAAGAGACTCCTAATATCTGTAAGCAACTGGCAGAAGGAAACAGAAATATCAGAGATCTGGAAATTTCAGCGTAGGATTATATGCTCCTCCCACTCCAAATCTGGGCAGCAGGATGAACATTTTTAGAAATTAGCTGTCCTAAAAAATGTCAAAGAGGAGAAATCACAGCATTGAAGCAATTGCAAAGAAGCAGTCCTGACCTGAGTTAGTGCTGATAAGGGAGGACAGGACATGGCAAGAGAGGACGGCTAGAAAGGCAAGCTCAGCATTTCTACTACAACAGCCATTCTGAAATACGATGCCTCAACAGAAGAACAGAATCAAATAAAAAGGGAAATGGTTCACAGATAACATCTGGCCCCTCAATTATTAAAGAGTATCTCCTCCCTACACACTTTTCCCTTCATTGCCTCCAACAGCCTCCTTAACTAGATCCAGTAAGACTTACTTCATTCCCTCCAATGGCCTCCTTAACTAGATCCAATAAGACTTATAAAACTTTTTTTTTTTTTTTTTTTTGAGACAGTCTCACCCCTGTCGTCCATGCTGGAGTGCAGCGGTGCAATCTCGCCTCACTGCAACCTCTGGCTCCTGGGTTCAAGTGACTCTCATGCCTCAGCCTCCTGAGTAGCTGGGATTACAGGCGTGAGCCGCTGTGCCCGCTGTGCCCGGCCAACTTGTAAAATTTTTTAATGAATCTTGAGTCACCTGCCTGCTGGCAAAGCGAGGTACGAGGAAATGGTAACTATGTCAGGTTACTATCTTTTACAGCCACAAAATATCAAAACCCCAACAACTCAGCTGACGAATGCAGCAACCTCATTTAGCCACAGCCCACAAAATAAAAGAGGGCACAAGAGATGCCCGACACGAAGGAGAAAGACAAGGAAGCCCCAGTGTTCTCATCTGGCCTCGGGTGAGCGGTGCCACAGTTCACGGTCCTGGTCCAAGGGACACTGAGGGACAGCACGTGGCTGCTGTGGGCGCCTGCCCTGTCTTGTCCTGCCATGTATGAAACGGATCAATCGGAAAGTGCTCTGCAAGAGGGCACATCGACGTTTTGGTCATCTGGTTGCCGGGAGAAACCAGGGGAGCATAGGTAATATGGAGGAATGAGTTACTTACTTGCCGTCCATCCTGCCCCACGTTCGTCTGACCTCTTACAACAGTTCGAATATTGTCATCCAGTCTCCTAGCAAAACAGTTCAAGGATACAGTCATTCAAATAATCTTTATTCTAGGTTGACCAAAAGAAAAAAAGTAAAAAGTAATTTATTCATCAACTTCTGCAGACTGCACCTAATTGTCCAGAAAACCAAACATGTGTGAGTGGCATCAGGCAGGAGGAGGGCAGCGACAGCCGTGCGGGAAGTCAAGCCCAGTGCAGGCTGATGCATCGCCTTGTTGTTAAAAATGCCTATTTTCACTTAATAGTCAGAGCTATCTGAAAGGACTAATAAAATCTGCAGGATTTTTCATGGAGTACATCAGGAATGACAAAGTTCCGGAGCCTTTACGTGAACATGCCAGATAACTCAAATTACCTCACACACAATCCCTTTCTCGGTCCCCTTATGAGGCGGAAAGAGCCAGAGTGATAGATGGAATCAGTGCTTCCGGGCCCTGATCATGCAATCCATGCCTGAGGCAGATCTACGGCTTCCAGCTCCTCTGCCCCCACGGTTCACAATGTTTAATCATGGGCCACCACCCAACCCACCAGCAGATCTGACATGGTTAGCTGTTATGTGACCAAGGGATACACATATAAGCCCATCTTCATGTCTAAGCCTTGGGAACACAAAAACAGGTAAATCCACAAAAACAGGGAAATAAAGCCATTAAAAAGCTAGTCGAAGGACAGACAGAATGGCTCACACCTATAATCCTAGCACTTTGGGAGGCCAAGGCAGGCAGATCACTTGAGGCTAGGAGTTCAAGACCAGCCTGGCCAACACAGTGTAACCCTGTAACTACTAAAAACACAAAAATTAGCTGGGCATGGTGGTGCATGCCTATAATTCCAGCTACTTGGGTGGCTGAGGCTCAAGAATTGCTCGAACCTGGGAGGTGGAGATTACAGTAAGCCAAGATCACACCACTGCACTCTAGCCTGGGTGACAGAGCCAGACTCCATCTCAAAAAAAAAAAAAAAAAATCTAGTAGATGTGGGAGACTGAGGCAGGCAGATTGCTTGAGCTCAGCAGTTTGAGACCAGCCTAGCCAACAAGGCGAAACCCCATCTCTACAAAAAATATAAACATTAGCAAAGTGTGGTGGTGCGCCTGTAGTCCCAGCTACTCAGGAGGCTGAGGTGGGAGGATCACTTGAGCCCAGGAGTTCGAGGCTGCAGTGAGCTGTAACTGCACCAGTACGCTCCAGCCTGGGACACAGAGTAAGACCTTGTTTTGAAAAAAAAACAGAAAAAAAGAAAAAAAAAATCTATCAGAAAAGCTTTTGCCTCCTTCTATAATTACAAAAGATGTTTTGAGTAGACTCTATCACAGCTTCCTTCCTTTTGTATGAAGAATTGAAGACTGGCCAAAGCATTGAGTTCCTTGCCACAAAGTTCATATGGATAAAATAATTATATGGCCGGGTGCGGTGGCTCACCCCTGTCATCCCAGCACGTTGGGAGGCGAAGGCAGGTGGATCACTTGAGGTCAGGAGTTCGAGACCAGCCTGACCAACATGGTGAAACCCCGTCTCTACTAAAAGTACAAAATTTGCCAGGCGTGGTGGCTCACACCTGTAATCCCAGCTACTAGGGAGGCTAAGGCAGGAGAATCACTTGAACCTGGGAGGTGGAGGTTGCAGTGAGCCAAGATCACACCATTGCACTCCAGCCTAGGCAATGAGCAAAAATCCGTCTCAAAAATAAATAAATAAATAATAAAAATTTTAAAAGGAATTATATTACCATCTATGGCAAACTTGAGATTTCAGTGCTCTCACAGAAAAATGTGATCCAGAATGTGATTAACTAAATTAACAATATACTTTTCATTAATTATGAACAATCACACAGCTTTACTCACCTTATTTTCAGCCTAATTTTGTTCACGACTTCGTCTATGTTCGCCAGAGACTACAATAAAGAAGGAAGAGTGCCCAGCTGTTAGTCCACTTCCTGGAATTCCTCTTTCACAGGAAAATGATGTGCTATAATAGCTACTTATGAAATCTCAAAAAATTTAATCACATGATATGAGTTTTGCTTTAAAAAAAAAAAAAGTAAAGCAGTAGTTGGAAGCTACAGCCACATCTAGCCCAGCCCCTGTTTTTTGTAAATAAAGTTTCACTGGAACACAGCCATGCCCGTTCACTTACATATTGCCTGCGGCTGCTCTTAAGCTAACATGGCAGGTAGGCAGTCGTGAAAGACGCTGTACAGCCACAAAGCCTGAAGTATTTACTATCTGGACCTTTACAGGAGAGTCTGCTGACCCATGGTGTACGTGATTGTGACAAATTCACGTAACGAAATACAGCAACAAAAATGAATGAATGCACAACACCATGGATAAACATTTTACTAACGGAATGGGGCACAGAAAAAGCCAGACACAAGGGGACAGAGGATATGATTTCACTAACATAATTCTCCTGTTAGAAGCTAGGACAGTGGTTATCTCTGGGGGAAGGTAGTGACAGTGAACAGGCAAGGAAAGGCCTTCTGAAGATTTTTTTAAATGTTTTATTTCTTGATCTGGGTGGCAGTTACATGGCTATGTTCATTTTGTGAAACTTCATCAAGTTGTACCCTTAAGATTTGTGTACTCCTCTGTATTATGTTATACTTCAATAAATACACAAATTTATTTTTTATTATATAGATCCACTAGAAAAAAGTCTGGAAGGATAGATAGGAGTAATTGTAATGTATTAGTAGTTGCAGCATTAGTAGCTATAATCTATCAACTACGTATTGCAATATGAAAAGAAGTGATTTCAAATTTTTCTTCTTGGGCCGGGTGCAGTGGCTCACGCCTGTAATCCCAGCACTTTGGGAGGCCAAGGCAGGCGGATCACCTGAGGTCAGGAGTTTGAGACCAGCCAGACCGTCATGGCGAAACCCCATCTCTACTAAAAATACAAAAAAAAAAAAATTAGGCAGGCTTGGTGGTGGGCACCTGTTGTCCCAACTACTCAAGAGGCTGCGGCAGGAGAATCGCTTGAACCCGGGAGGCAGAGGTTGCAGTGAGCTGAGAATGTGCCATTGCACTCCAGCCTGGGCAACAAGAGCAAAACTCTGTCTCAAAAAAAAATATTTTCTTCTTTTTGTCTGTATTTTATAATTATTGACTATGCACTACTACTGTGATTATAATAAGCTTATTATAACAACAATTAAAACAAAGGGATCACTTCTGACCTTAGAGATGAGAAAATGTGAGGAAATGGTGCCCCCTAATGGACAAGAGGAGGTACAATTTTATAGTACTATTTTAATTCAAGTTTTCAAAATACAATTTAATAAATCCTCTTCCTCTCTCCCTTAACAAATATTTTATCTCAGAAGGAATTAGGGATATTGTAGGAAATATGCTTATAAATTGCTTCTGGCTACCTCTGATGGGAGGAGGAGGCCAGGTGCCTTCCAGGAGCAGGTCTGGTAAGAGAAACAGGCCATGAGTGTTTGAGATGTCAGACTGGGTTGTCACAGCTCATCCTACTGTTCTGACCAAGCCAACAGTTACTCAGAATTTTCAGAAATCCAAGAACAGCTTGAGGTAAAAATGAATCTCAGGCTGGACGTGATGGCTCATGCCTGTAATCCCAGCACTTTGGGAGGCTAAGGTGGGAGGATCACTTAAATCCAGGAATTCAAGACCAGCCCAGACAATACAGTGAGATCCCATCTCTCCAAAAAATAAAAAAAAGTTAGCCAGGCATGGTGGCATGTGCTTGCAGTCCCAGGTACTCAGGAGGCTGAGGTGGGAGGATCACCTGAGCCCAGAAGGTCGAGGCTGCAGTAAGTCATGTTTGCACCACTGCACTCCAGCCTGGGCTAAACAGCCCTGTCTCAAAAAAAAAGAAAAACGAATCTCAGAAAAATTACTTTAATTTATATATAATTATATATATACATATATTTTTGTGTGTGATGGAGACTAGCTCTGTCACCAGGCTGGAGTGCAATGGCGCGATCTCGGCTCACTGCAACCTCCGACTCCCTGGTTCAAGCGATTCTCCTGCCTCAGCCTCCCGAGTAGCTGGGATTACAGGCACATGCCACCACGCCCAGCTAATTTTTGTATTTTTAGTAGAGACGGGGTTTCACCACGTTGGCCAGGATGGTCTCGATCTCTTGACCTCGTGATCTGCCCGCCTTGGCCTCCCAAAGTGCTAGGATTACAGGTATGAGCCACCGCGCCTGGCCAAGAGGAAAACATTTCTAATATCATTTTATGATAGCAAGTATTTTTATAATATCAAATAGCCTACCTTTAAGATGGCGGCTCACTCTGTCACCAAGGCTGGAGTGCAGTGGTGCAATCATAGCTCACTGTAACCTCAAACTCCTGGGCTCAAGCAATCCTCCCACCCCAGCCTCCTGAGTGGCTAGGAACAAAAAGGTACATGCACTGAGCCTGGCTAATTTTATTATTTTGTTATAAACACAGGGTCTTGCTATGCTGTCCAAGCTGATCTTGAATTCCTGGCTTCAAGCAATGCTCCCGCCTTGGCCTCCCAAAGCACTGGGATTACAGGCATGAGGCAGTGCACCCGGCCCTATAATATCATTTTTATAATATAATGAATGTAGCTTTTAAAAAGAACAGAGGCCGGGTGTGGAGGCTTATGTCTGTCCTTTGGGAGGCTGAGGTGGGTGGACTGCTAGAGCCCAAGAGTTAGAGACCAACCTGGACAACGTGGTGAAACTCCGTCTCTACAAAAAAATAGAAAAATTAGCCGGGTATGGTAGCACACGCCTGTAGTACAATCTGCTTATTAGGCTGAGGAAAGAAGACTGATTGAGTCTGTAAATTCCAGGGCACAGTGAGCTGTGATGGAGCCACTGAACTGTAGCCTGGGTGATGGGTGACAATCTCAAAAAGAAAAAATAAATAAAAATAAAATAAAAATAGGCTGGGCGCGGTGGCTCATGCCTGTAATCCCAGCACTTTGAGGCCGAGGTGGGCGGATCACAAGGTCAGGAGTTCGAGACCAGCCAGGCCAATATGGTGAAACCCCGTCTCTACTAAAAATACAAAAAAAAATTAGCCGGGCGTGGTGGCAGGTGCCTGTAATCCCAGCTACTCGGGAGGCTGAGGCAGGAGAACTGCTTGAACCCAGGAAGCAGAGGTTGCGGTGAGCCGAGATCGCGCCACTGCACTCCAGCCTGGATAACAGAAGGAGACTCTGTCTCAATAAATAAATAAATAGAAGAGAAAGAAATATCCTAAAGTTACACTATTTGATAGTCAGGTGGCCTTTGGGTGACTGTTTTCCCTTCATTTCCAGGCTTTCTGCTGGAGGGGAAAGGGAAAGGCTGCTAGCATTTAATGTGGATCTCCTAGGCAACAATTGCAGGCACTTCACAGAAATTATTTCCCTTAATCCCCTCTGCCAGGCGAGGCACACTTTTCTCCTCTTCAACGTTAAGATTGGGAACTATGGAGGCGGAGGCCGGGCATGGTGGCTCATGCCTGTAATCCCAACACTTTGGGAGGCCAAGGTACGTGGGTTTCCTAAGCTCAGCAGTTCAAGACCAGTCTCTGGGCAACCTGGCAAAACCCTGTCTCTACCAAAAATACAAAAAACTACCTGGGCTTGCTGGTGCACACCTGTGGTCCCAGCTACTCAGGAGGCTGAGGTGGGAGGATCGCTTGAGCCTGGGAGGCAGAGGTTGCAGCGAGCCGAGATCACACCACTGCATTCCAACCTAGGTGACAGAGTGGGAACCCACCTCAAATAAAAAACAGATGGGAAACGTGCTCTGCAGGACAGGTGCTTTGCCTGAAGCTGCAGAGATCCCACCTCAAATAAAAAACAGATGGGAAACGTGCTCTGCAGGACAGGTGCTTTGCCTGAAGCTGCAGAGATCCTCTTTCTTACTCTAGCATCTACCTCTAACGCAATGATTCTTGACCTAATTTTCCTGCACCCCAAGACACCGGACAGCTATGACACACCCACTCTCATCAGTTAGTTCAGTGTCTGGCTATGGCAGTGATCCTCACCAGGGTCGAGGGCCTCTCCTGGAGTTGGGGAAAAGCCCTGTGGGAATCCACATTGGCTGGGCAGAGGGGTTTATCCTGCTTTGAGAATCACTCATCTCGTTTAGTTATAATGTGGTTGTACAGTTTTGTTTACTTTTTAAATGTTTTAGTTATTGCAAAATATTTCCTGATTCTAATGGTAATTCTTGACAATTACAGAAAATAGGTAGTCATCTGCACACCCAGGACAGTATGACCACAATCAGAATTTTTGCGTATTGCCTTCTACTACGAAACTGTATAGCTGTACAAAAATAAACTGGGATGATAAGCAATTTGGCATCTTTTTTTTTTTTTTTTAAGGCAGGATCTCATTCTGTCACCCAGGCTGCAGTGCAGTGGCACGATCTCAGCTGACTGCAACTTCCACCTCCCAGGCTCAAGCGATCCTCCTGCCTCAGTGATCCACCCGCCTTGGTCTCCCAAAGTGCTGGGATTAGAGAATACAGCCATGAGCTGGATCTTGGGTTTTTTTTTCTCTTAACAATACAGATCCAGAGCATTTTTGGGGTCACCAGAAACTCTTTAGAAACATCCCCATATAACTCTTTTCTCAAAGTTCCTAATTATGTTAGTTTTGTATTAGTTTTCCATAAATTTCATTTAGTTTCCTCTAATCAAACTTTCAAATGATTATCTTCAGTTTACTATTAGGAGGCTAAAACGATTTTCTAGACCACTGCGACCAAACCTGGCTACTATTTAAACCCCACAGGCACTCTGCTGCATGGAAAATCCCAAGCTCCTCTCAGGCCTGGCTGGGTGAAATAGTAAGAGGCATCCATTCCAGGCCACTCAACAGGCTCCAGACAACCGCAGACACACAAGTACTTCCACTCAACAGAAACATATTCTCACCCTCCTCCTCACAGTAACACTAAATTCACTCTGGAAATACTGAAATCTACTTTAAACAATCTAAACTCATAATGTACAAGTGTTTACTGGAGGTCCATGAGGTATACAGATGGTTTTTGCCCAATATCTGACAATAGTTAAATTTCAAGCTATGCCACTACTTTCTACTACCTTTTCATTAAGATCCACAGGAATCTGGCTTAGATTTCACTCAGATGACCTGCTAAGTGAAACTCTGAGACTAGAGAAGTAAAGATAACCCTGTGTCATAAATGTTCTGAGTTACTCTAAGAAACGTGACTGTACATTATCATATACCTGGGGCATAATTAGACAAGACACAGAACTGAATCTGTGGAACAACAAAGATCTTGAGTTTTCAGTAGTTTAAAAAAAAATACAGCACATACACACACACCACAAGAGGTGAGAACCTGGTGGTTTCCTACAAAATTTTCAAATCTAACACTTCTTTTTGTTTTGGTGAATCAGCAATTACTATCTTTATCCTAGCTATTCCCAAATGTCTATCTCCAGCTAATTCCTAAAATTCCCCTTTCATACAAAATGATGAGCTATAAAGGCTTTTCGTGAAATCTCAAAAAAGACAATCACACAGTATATCATCTTTTAAACTTTATTTTAAAAATCAGTATATCCATTAAAAAAAGTTTGGAAGGATCTGCCAAAATATTCACAATGATGGGGATCAAGAGCTCTGCACTCAAATACCCAACAACTTATTTCCACCTGGATGACCTGAGTATGTTCAAACTTGGGCTCACCTTACAGCCCACTCCAGCCCTACCTGCCACTGAAACCTGCTCTTTCTCCTTACACTCAGTAATTGGGTAAAGTGGAAAGCTGCCATTACCCATCCAGTCAGCCAAATCTGGCTACCTAGAAACCAGTTCAAAATTCTTAACTTAGGGCCAGGCACAGTGGCTCAAATCTGTAATCCCAGCACTCGGAGAGGCTGAGGCAGGAGGGTGGCTTGAGGCCAGGAGTTCCAGACCAGCCTGGGCAACACAGCAAGGCCCAGTCTGTAAAAAAAAAAAAAAAATTAAAAATCAGCTGGGGCTGGGCGCGGTGGCTCACTCCTGTAATCCCAGCACTTTGGGAGGCTGGGGCAGATGGATCATGAGGTCAGGAGATCGAGACCATCCTATCCTGGCCAACATGGTGAAACCCCATCTCTACTAAAAATACAGAAATTGGCTGGGCGTGGTGGCGCGTGCCTATAATCTCAGCTACTCGGGAGGCTAAGACAGGGGAATTGCTTGAACCAGGGAGTGGGAGGTTGCAGTGAGCCGAGATGGCACCACCCCACCCCAACCTGGTGACAAAGCAAGACTCCATCTCAAAATAATAATAATACTCAGCTGGGTGTGGTGGCACACACCTGTAGTGCTAGCTACTGAGGAGGCTGAAGTGGGAGGAGTGCTTGAGTCCAGGAATTTGAGGTTGCAGTGAGCTATGATTGTGCCACTGCACTCTAGCCCGGGCAAGAGAGTGAGACCCCATCTCAAAAAAAAATTATTAACTTGGCCTGTAGTATTCAGCTAAAACACCATTTCCTCAAGGGAGTAAGCCTTTTCAATCCATCTTGAGCAAGTAAGGCCCTGGGTTCTGCTGTCACTGTATTTGGCATGCTTCCTTCATGGCAACGCTATCACATTTAAGCCGAGTGTTATCTTTCCGTGCCTCGTGATTCTTACTCTAAAATAAGAAGGATAACAAAGTGGAGTTTATCACTGTTTAGTGCCTAGAGTGCTGTCGGGTACACAGGAAGTATCTAATAAAGATTACTATTACAGTTGTAGTAAAGGTTATATAAGAGCAAGTGACAAATAATATTTAAAAATTATATGAGCA
Organism: Homo sapiens; assembly: GCF_000001405.40. Lineage (NCBI taxonomy): Eukaryota > Metazoa > Chordata > Mammalia > Primates > Hominidae > Homo > Homo sapiens. The sequence continues at coordinate 265,729 of NW_017363817.1, forward strand.
AGTCAGGCCAGGCGTGGTGGCTCACGCCTGTAATCCCAGCACTTTGGGAGGTCAAGGTGGGCAGATCACAAGGTCAAGAGATTGAAACCATCCTGGCCAACATGGTGAAACCCCGTCTCTACTAAAAATACAAAAATTAGCCAGGCTTGGTGGCGCGTGTCTGTAAACTCAGCTACTCAGGAGGCTGAGGCGGGAGAATCGCTTGAACCCAGGAGTTGGAGGTTGCAGTGAGCCGGGATTGTGCTACTGCATTCCATCCTGGCAACAGAGTGAGACTCAGTCTCAAAAAAAAAAAAAAAAAATTACACAAGCAAGTCATTGTAACATCATAATTTACCTATAATCTGTTACTGTGAGATTAACTATCAAGATAGACTATGAAGTCTGTGTTGGTAGACTATATCTGTCTTGCTCACTTCTCTACCCCAGATTTCTTATAAAGCTAGGTAGAGTGGGTGTTTTTTTAACTGAATAAACGAATGAGTGAATTTTGGATTCTCCATGACCCTCTACTTTCATGCCCTCAGGTACCAAACTGCATGACTTTGGTCCCCTCAATAGCTCTCAGATCTGGTTCTCTCTATCCCACAGCTTTTCTCCAGGTCTCACCATCTCTTTCCAGTGATCTACTGCGTGAGTCTCCTGCCTGTAGTCTCTCCCCACCTCCATCCCTTGCTCGTCCTCCACATGGCTGCCAGACGGAATTTTAAAAACGTGAATGTGCTCCAGTCATTATCCTGCCAAAAGTCCTTCAATGAATACTCACTGCCTACAGCAGCAACCTCCAGAGCAGGGTGCGAACGTCCCCACGGGGTCTGCCACACTGCCCCCTGGGGTGTGAGGAGCAAACACTGAAGCCTCTATGTTTATTTTCTATTTATATAGCAAATACTACTGAAGCCTAACATTTAAAATTGGTACTCACATATGTATATAATATTCTGGGGATACAGGCTTAAAAATTATCCAAGTGAAAATCAGCTCTGTGGGTCGGGCGCGGTGGCTCACGCCTGTCATCCCAGCACTTTGGGAGGCCGAGGCGGGCGGATCACCTGAGGTCAGGAATTTGAGACCAGCCTGGCCAACATGGTGAAACCCCATCTCTACTAAAAATACAAAAATTAGCCGCGTAGTGGCAGGCCCCTGTAATCCCAGCTGCTCAGGAGGCTGACACAGGAGAATCACTTGAACCCAGGAGGCAGAGGTTGCAGTGAGCCGAGATCATGCCATTGCACTCCAGCCTGGGGGACAAGAATGAGACTTTGTCTCAAAAAAAAAAAAAAAAAAAGAAAATCAGTTCTGTGAAAAATATTTGGGCCAGGTGCAGTGGCTCATGCCTGTAATCCCAACATTTTGGGAGGCTGAGGCGGGAGGATCACATTAGCTCAGGAGTTCGAGACCAGCCTGGGCTTCGTAGTGAGATCTCGTCTCTACTAAAAAAATTTTAAAACTTAGCTGTGTGTGGTGGCATGCGCCTGTAGTCGCAGCTACTCAGAAGGCCGATGTAGTGGGAGCGCTAGAGTTCGGGAGTTCACAGTTACTGTGATTGTGCCACTGCACTCCAACCTGGGCAACAGAGTAAAACTCTCTTTCAAAAAAAAAAAAAAAAGGAAGAAAGAAAAAAAGCATTTCACTGAAAGGCATGTGGTCTCCAAAAAAACTGGCAACGATAAGCCTAGAGGACAGAGATCCTCCAGGATCCTTGCTCTCCCTCCTCAGCCTCATCTCCTGTGAGTCTCTGCTCACTGTGCACATCTTATGTCTCCTGTTTCTGTGCCTTGGTCCTGTGTTTAGAAGGGCCTTCTGTAGGGTCCAGCCCTACGGGGCCTTGTGGGTTTTCTCTTCGTGTGCGGAGACGAGAGATTGTAGAAAGACACGAAACTAAGAAGTAGTAGGAAAGACAGCTGGGCCCGGGGCACCACTACCACCAATGCACAGAGTCCAATAGTGGCCCCGAATGCCTGGACCCACTGCTATTTATTGTATACAAGGCAAGGAGGCAGGGTAAGGAGTGTGGGTCATCTCAAATGATTGACAAGGTCAAGCAAGTCACATGTCCACGTGACAGGGGGCCCTTCCCTTTGTGGTAGCCGAAGCAGAGAGGGAGGACAGCAGACGTCAGCATTTTTTCTTTGCACTTATCAGAAAGATCAAAGACTTTAACACTTTCACTAATTCTGCTACTGCTATCTTCTAAGAACTTAAAGGAGGAGCCAGGTGTACAGGTGGAACATGAAAGTGGACCAGGAGCATGACCACTGAAGCACAGCACCACAGGGAGATGCTGAAGCCTCCGGATGACTGTGGGCAGGCCTGGGGAATGTCAGGCCCCCCACGAGAGCTGGTGGAGCAGAGTGTTCTCTAACTCCCCCAGGGAAAGGGAGACTCCCTTTCACAGTCCGCTAAGTAACGGGTGCCTTCCCAGGCACTGGCACTACCGCAAGACCAAGGTGCCTTCAAGCAGCCCTTATCCAGGCATGACAGAGGTTCTCACTGTTGTCTTCTGGTCTCCTGACTCTGTATGGCCTGGTTTTTCCTTGGTCGTAATAATGAAACAAAGATTAATACTAAAGACTAATGATTGATAATATCCATATACAATCATCTCTATATCCTATTTCTATTATAACTCTACTTATTTAACTATTTTCTTTATTATATTGGAACAGGTTGTGCCTTCAGTCTCTTGCCTCGGCACCTGGGTTTCTTTCCGCCCACGCCTTCCTTCCCTCATCATCCTGGAAGAGATACCTAGCTGCTGGCTCTGTCTAGAATACTGTTCTGCCAGACTGCTGCAAGCTTGACTCCTTCCTGTCCATCAGGTCTCAGCTTAGAGGGAACCACCTCACAGAGAACTTCCCGTTAAGCCCCTTTATTTAAAGGACCCTCCGCAGCACGCTCTGTCACGGAACCTGCCTGGTATCACGGCGCATCACGCTCTGTCACGGAACCTGCCTGGTATCACGGCGCAGCACGCTCTGTCACGGAACCTGCCTGGTATCACGGCCACCATGTTTGATCATCTCTAGTGTATTTGTTGGTTTATTTCTTGTCTTTCTCCCTACACTAGACTCCATAAGACCAAGACCAGATTTGTCATGTTTACATTTCTCCCTAGTTTCTAAAAATAATACCTGACACTTAGCAGACATTTAATAAACGACTGCTACGTTTTACTAAATGAATACATGAATGAATCCCTCAAGCTCGGCAGACAGGCTACCTCCTCTCTGAAGTTGTGATTTTCCTTGGAAGAACTGGTCTTTGTTTCCTTACCGCACTGTCCCACTGTCACTGACGGCATTCGCCAGGGTCTCCCACCACTTGATCCTGCACACCTCAAGGGCATGGACTGGACCTTATCATCTCTGCACCCTCAGCACCTAGCACAGTGACTGACAACACATGACAGGCACCTACTGAACAACTGCTGACTGAAAAAATGGAAACGAAGCGGGACTCTCACTGCCCTTCTCCCAACTCTGCTACTTCCAGTTCTGGTCTACTTCTCACCCAAACACCCAAAAACCAATTTTGTAAGAAAATCCATCTCCACAGGAAAATCACCGGACAAAAAATAATAAAACGTGAAGTCTAAAAATCTGTATCTTGAGGCCGGGCGCAGTGGCTCACGCCTGTAATCCCAGCACTTTAGGGGGCCAAGGCAGGTGGATCACGAGGTCAGGAGTTTGAGACCAGCCTGGCCAACATGCTGAAACCCCGTCTCTACTAAAATCACAAAAATTAGCCAGGCGTGATGGTGGGTACCTATAGTGCCAGCTACTCAGGAGGCTGAGGCAGAAGAATCGCCTGAACCCAGGAGGCAGACGTTGCAGTGAGCCGAGACCGCGCCATTGCACTCCAGCCTGAACGACAACAGCAAAACTCCGTCTCAAAAAAACTAATAAATAGAAATAAAAATTTACATCTTGAAATAGAGGTGAAAGTGGCTTTATGATTCTGGGCTTATCCTGCCTGCCTCACCCCCACTTGTCCCTACTACATTATAAAAATCCTTTCCACTTTCAATTTACAGCAGAAAATTTGGGAGGACTCTCACAACCTAAGAGTACAATTATTAATAATATGTTCACTATACAATGAATTCCATTCCAACACAGTGTAGCTCACTGCCCCAGCTGGTGATGATGGAGTTTGATTTGAATTTAACTCTCCCTTGTGTATCAAGGGCCCGTAGATGATCTAGTGTAACACACGAAGCATAACACCCAAGATGTGCCAAAAGCTGCTGAAAGGAAGGAAACCTGAAACTCTACTTACTTGCTCGGTTGGGAACAGGGTATTGATATACTCAACAGCATTGAAATCTGCTCGATCTAGAGGGTCCTGGCTTGGAAACACCTATATAGAAAGAGAGGAGTATATATAAAAACATGTAGTATACCGTAAATATATATAATTTTAATTTGTCAATTAAAAGGAAAGGGCCGGGCACGGTGGCTCATGCCTGTAATCACAGCACTTTGGGAGGCCAAAGCAGATGGATCACCTGAGGTCAGGTCTCTACTAAAAATAAAAACTTGGCTGGGTGTGGTGTTGGCGCACACCTGTAATCCCAACTACTCAGGAGGCTGAGGCAGGAGAATTGCTTGAACCCGGGAGGCGGAGGTTACAGTGAGCCGAGATCACACCACTACACTCCAGTCTGGGCGAAAGAGCAAGACTCTGTCTCAAAATTAAATTAATTAATTAATTAATTAAAATAAGGCTGCGCGGATCGCTTGAGCTCAGGAGTTGGAGACTGGCCTGGGCAACATGGTGAAACCACATCTCTACAAAAAAAAATTAGCTGGGTGCCATGGCACATGCCTGTCATAGTCCCAGCTACGTGGGAGGCTGAGATGGGAGGATCACCAGAGCCCAGGAGGTTGAGGTTGCAGTGAGCCGAGATTCTATCACTGAACTCCAGCCTGGGCGACAGAGTGAGATCCTCTCTCAAAAACAGTCCACCTCTAAGACATACAGCTAACTCCCTAACAACCTGAAGAACACGCAACAAGGTGGATGATACAAGCAGCCAAATTATCCACTGGACACTGGGTCTCACCCAGCTTGATAGAGTTACAACTGTGGGAAGCAACTTCATCTCTGAAGAAGCCTTCCAAAGAAATATAGAGTCAAAAAATCAAAATATCTTCAAGACAACTGTTAGAAAAGCTGAAGCCTTCTACCACATCAAGAGGAGGTGGATGAGAAGAAAGTGAAGATGTTTTCTTTTTAAAATGTTCAGCATTGCTGTTTCCATAATGCACATATACACAGGTTATTTACACAGTCTCAATGATACGTGCTCACCAGAGGGAAAGTATAACCCACAGAGAGCAGGATACAAGAGATACAAACTATTTCCTCAAGTTGCTCTCAGTTTCTGTATTCCTCTCACGACTCCTAGGTTTTAGTGCTGTCCTAGGTTTTAAATTGTTTTCATGTAACAAGGCTCCTAACAAAAGCCAGCTGAAAAAAGAATGACTGGTTCCAATGATGGAGGAAAAAAACTAACAGCCCTAGACTTATCAGAGATGCATACGTGGTACTTCATGGGCAATTTTTTTTTTTTTTTTTGACACGGAGTCTCGCGCTGTCACCCAGGCTGGAGTGCAGTAGCGCGATCTTGGTTCACTACAAGCTCCACCTCCCAGGTTCATGCCATTCTCCTGTCTCAGCCTCTTGAGAAGGTGGGACTACAGGCGCTCGCCACCATACCCGGCTTATTTTTTGTGTTTTTAGTAGAGAAGGGGTTTCACCGTGTTGGCCAGGATGGTCTCAATCTCCTGAACTTGTGATCCACCCGCCTCGGCCTCCCAAAGTGCTGGGATTACAGGCGTGAGCCTCCACACCCGGCCTTCATGGGCAATTTAAAGAACTTCAGGGCAGAGTGATTTTCATGTCTAGAGTGACTTTCGCCTTTTTTTTTTTTTTTTTTTTCGAGATGGAGTCTCACTCTGTCGCTCAGGCTGGAAGGCAGTGGCACCATCTCAGCTCACTGCAACCTCTGCCTCCCGGGTTCAAGCAGTTCTTTGCCTCAACCTCCCGAGTAGCTGAGATTACGGGCACCTGCCACCATGCCCAGCTAAATTTTTGTATTTTTAGGAGAGACGGGGTTTCACCATGTTGGCCAGGCTGGTCTTGAACTCCTGACATCGTGATCCACCCGCCCTGGCCTCCCAAAGTGCTGGGATTACAGGTGTGAGCCACCGAGCCCAGCCAATTTTCACCTTATGCAATGACTCTGGGACTTCATCTTGGAGTAAAATGTGATTCCATTTTATCAACCCTTCCTGACTCCTCACACATCACTACTCTTTACAAGTATGCTACTACAGAATTTCATTCAGAGTGCTAAAGTAAGAAAAAATTCTGAATTCATCTTGACATAATGATGTCTGAATTCTGCTTGACATAAAGATGTCTGCTATACTATCACTCAAACTTATTCTTACAAAATAGGAAAAATGTCAGAATTCACCGCTATGTAATTCATCCATGTAATCAAAAACCACCTGTACCCCAAAAGCTGTTGAAACAAACAAAAGAAATAGCAAAAATGTGCTTTTCTGATACCTGTCAACCAAACAGTAACTGACTGCATTATTCTTTTCTTCCATGAGAGCCCACTAGTCCAAAGAGCAACAGAAATGTTATGTCTTTTTCTGGCAAAAGGAGGTAAGTGGTGGAGCCGTGTGGCCGGAACACTAAAAGCTTCCTGCCCAATGGTTTGGCGTTCTCAGGCTAGGACAAAGTTGGTTGTATAAGTAATCCAACCACTACTGGAAAAACACACATCGAAGCGTCAATGAATGCACCTGTAGTCCCAGCTACTCGGGAGGCTGAGGCAGGGTTATCACTTGAGCCCCAGGAGTTCGAGGCTGCAGTGAGCTACGATTATGCCACTGTACTCCAGCCTGGACAACAGAGCAAGACCCTATCTCAAAAAAAAAAAGTTTCCCAGGGGTCATTAAATAAGGCATAATGGAATTGTCCATTTCCTCAATCATAAATCCCTTTCTTAAATCATATAACTTCATGACAATTCCTTTAAGGGAGATTTTCTCCGTTTATCAGGAGCAATACCCTGCAGTATTAGAAATCACTATTTCTGACCGGGTGCAGTGGCTCACACCTGTAATCCCAGCACTTTGGGAGGCCGAGGCGGGCGGATAGCCTGAGGTCAGGAGTTCAAGACCAGCCTGGCCAACATGGTGAAACCCGGTCTCTACTAAAAATACAAAAATTAGCTAGGCATGGTAGCGGTTGCCTGTAGTCCCAGCTACTCAGGAGGCTGAGGCAGGAGAATCACTTGAACCTGGAAGCGGAGGTTGCAGTGAGCCGAGATGGCACCCCTACACTCCAACCTGGGCGAAAGAGCGAGACTCCGTCTCAGAAAACAAAAAAAAAGAAAAAAAGAAAAGAAAAAAATCACTATTTCTAATATCATTAGCCTTAAAAACTCAATAAACTTGCAAAGGCAAGAGTTCCTGCAGGCAGGGCCGCGCGTGGTGGCTCACGCCTGTAATCCCAGCACTTTGGGAGGCCAAGGCGGGCGGGTTACTTGAGCTCAGGAGTTCGAGACCATCCTGGCCAAAACGGTGAAACCCCCGTCTTTACCCCAAAAAAAAAAAAAAATTAGCCGGGTGTGGTGGCGTGCGCCTGTAATCACAGCTACTCAGGAGGCTGAGACAGGAGAATCGCTTGAACTCGGGAGGCGGAGGTCGCAGTGAGCCGAGATCGTGCCGTTGCACTCCAGCCCGGGCGACAGAGCGAGAATCCGTCTCAAAAAAAAAAAAAAAAAAAAGTTCCTGAAGGGAAAAGAGGCCCCTTGGGAGTATTCTCCAACCTCACCCAAACTATTCAACGGTAGGAATTCTCAACCTTTTAAGAATGGTAACGATGTCATTTTTCAACACTTTCTCTCTTCTCTGCCGTCCGCTTCAGAAATTAAAGTCATTCCCTTCCCCCAGTTCCAAGCCACTCACGAGGTGCCAGCTTGCAAAACCGGGGCGTTGGCACGAGTCTGGTAAATGCATGAAGCCCCCACAGTCCCCAGAATCTGAGGATGGCACCCAAGGCCTGCATTCTCCTAGCGTCGTCCTCTCTAAGCGCACAATTCCTTTCCCCAAAACCACCAGAACCCCCAGCCCTCGCCAAAGACAATCAAAGCCTAGAAAGGGTTCTCTTTCCTTTCCTTCTGATTCAGAAACCGCTTCTCACCCGCACCACCTCCCCACCTCCACTTTCCCTTCTGCCGCGAGCCCCCGGCCCTCCGTCCACCCGCCGCGGCCTCCCCAGCGCCCGGAGCTGCCGTCTCCCCTCCCGCACTCCCGTTTCCCCTCCTGAGGGGCGGAACGCTTACCTGCTCGATGGCCAGCTGCACCTCGGGCGTGAGCTGCAGCACGGCTTCCAGCTCCTCCACGAACTCCAGTTCCTCCTCCTCCATCATTCCGCCACCCGGCCCCCTGCCGACCCCCGCCGCGAGCCCAACTCAGGCCTCCAGCCGCCACCCAGGCCCCAGCACAGCAACTCCCTCGCGGCAGCGACCTGGTGAGCCCGGCTCCGTCAGCCGCTCTGTCAGCCGCTCCGGCACTTCCGGCAGGCCAGGGCACTTCCGGGACCGGGGAACTGTGGGATCACGGCGGACTGAGACTGGCGGCGTTCCTGTCACGTCAGGTGTCTCCCGGGCAACGCAGTATCCCGGCGGCCCCGCGTGGCCTCAGCGCGTCCTTAGGATGGGCGGGGCCTCTTCCCTCCCCAAGGCGCGCCCCGCACTGAGGACCCCGAGGTTGGGGTAGGGTCTGGCCTCCAGCAGGACGCCCGGATGAAAGTCAGCCCTGCGGCGTCGCCAACCGCAGCCCACAGCCTCCGCGGGCAGCGCAGCGGCGACCTCTCAGCTCCCGGGGCCCCCTCGGTCAGTGGCAGCGGGTGTCCCCGGCCACGGGGGCGACGTGATCCCAGCTGGCGAGTGGCGATGTCGCCAAGGACATTCGTAGGACGGGACAGTGCCCACTCGATAGAAATTCCCCGTGCGCCGGGCTCTGCGCAGAAGCTTTTCGAGGTGACTGCAGCCTCCTTATGGGGAGAAACGTCTTTTTTTTTTTTTTTTTTTTTTTTGAGACGGAGTCTTACTTGTTGCCCAGGCTGGAGTGCAACGGCGCGATCTCGGCTCACTGCAACCCCGCCTGCTGGGTTCAAGCGATTCTCCTGTCTCAGCCTCCCGAGTAGCTGGGATTACAGGCGCCCGCCACCACGCCCAGCTAATTTTTGTATTTTTAGTGGAGACGAGGTTTCACCATGTTGGCCAGGCTGGTCTCGAACTCTTGACCTCGTGATCCGCCCGCCTCGGCCTCCCAAAGTGCTGGGATGACAGGCGTGAGCTACTGCGCCCGGCCAGAAACGTTTTTTTAAAGCCAGATGACGCAGCGCCCTGGAGCTGGGGAGACGTTTACTGAGGTTGAATATCCGGGATCTAAGTCCTGAATAGTCCACCATTGATAAGTTGTGTGACTTGGAACAAATTACTACCCCGCGTCGATGTGGAGAGGATTAAACATTAACAGCGCGATGTAAATTCAAGCTGGTAATACAGGAAATAGTGAGGTGCCCAGCCCTTACCCCCACAAAGGAACAAATAAGCCAGATCACCGATCACCCTGTGAAACCACCTTTCCTGCAGACACTGAAAAGAAGGAGGGAATTGCAGCCCAAGGAGGACCCGCTCCACCAGGTGAACCGGGAAACTCCAGGAGGGAAACGCGTTGGCCCCACTGAACTTTTTTTTGTTGTTGTTATCAGAGTTGCTCAAAGTAAAAAATAGGAGCAGTATGATTTTTTCTTTTATTTTTAATTGACAAATAATAATTATATAAACAATGTAATTTCTAACAACAAAGGAATGCTAAAAAATATACATTAAAAAAAGAAAAAAAAGACAAAATAAAATATACATTGAACCTGGTGCAGTGGCACAGGCCTGCAGCCCCAGCTACTCAGGAGGCTGAGGCAGGGAATTATTGACTTTCTGAGATTGAATATCAGGGGTCTAGATCTCATCCCACCACTGAGGATCGCTTGAGCCCAGGAGTTTGAGGCTGCAGTGAGGAATGATTCCTTTGCGCCACTGCACTCCAGCCTGGGCCACAAAGGGAGACTCTGTCTCTTAAGTAAACATAGAATATTATTGATTCATAAAATCATGATTTTGAAAATTAATGACATGAAAAATATGCACAATATATTTCAGAAAGCAAAATGTATAATTTCATTTAAAAAATGCATAGCATGGTCCCAGCTTTGTGTGTATTCTGTGCCAATAAAGCTCACAGCAAGGAAATATTACTTTTCTGCACGTGATGAATGTACATCCTTTGTACATTTTCCCAAATGTCTACAATGAGCCTGTAGTTCTCTCATGCTCAGAAAATATGAATGCCTTTTTCTAAAAGGAAAAGGTAATTATAGCTACTTATTTTGGACTTTTTTTTTCCTTTAAAAAATTAAGATATTTACATACAGTAAAATTTACTCTTGCAATTTATGATGCAGTGAGTTTTGATAAATGTGTATAAACGACTGGGCATGGTGACTCACGCCTATAATCCCAGCACGTGGGGAGGCCGAGGCTGCCAGATCACTTGAGGTCAGGGGTTCGAGACCAGCCTGGCCAACATGGTAAAACCCGTCTCTATCTACTAAAAATACAAAACGTAGCTGGCCGTGGTGGTGCACAGAATCACTTGAACCCGAGAGGTGGAGGTTGCAGTGAGCCAAGATTGCACCATTGCACTCCAGCCTGGGTGACAGAGCAAGACTCCATCTCAAAACAAACAAACAAATAATAAGAAAACAATAATAAAACAAAATAAATAAATGTATATAACCATGTAACTACTACCACAATCTAGTTATAGGACAATTTCATTCCCCCAAATTCCCTCTTGCCTCACCCCATCCACTGGCAACCACTGACTTGATTTCTGTCCCTATAGTTTTTGTTTTTGTTTTTGTTTTTTTGAGACGGAGTCTCGCTCTATCACCCAGGCTGGAGTGCAGTGGTGCAATCTCAGCTCACTGCAACCTCCGCCTCCCGGGTTCAAGCGATTCTCCTGCCTCAGCCTCCTGAGTAGCTGGGATGACAGGCACGTGCCACCACACCTGGCTAATTTTTGTATTTTTAGTAGAGACAGGGTTTCATCATGTTGCCCAGGATGGTCTCAAACTCCTGACCTCAGGTGATCTGCCAGCATCAGGCTCCCAAAGTGCTGGGGTTACAGGCATGAGCCACCACGCCTGGCCTGTCCCTATAGTTTTGATATTTCCAGAATATCATATAGATGGAATCATACAGTATGACACCTTTTCAGTCTGGCTTCTTTCATCTGTCATAAAGTATCTAAAATTCATCCATGTTGTTGCATGTATCTGTGGTTCATGTCTTCTTGCTGGTATTCCACTAGATGAATACACCACTATTTGTTTATCTAGTCCCTGGTTGAAGGACATATGGGTTTTTCCAGTTTTTGGCAATTATGAATAAAGCTGCTATAAACATTCATGTACAGATTTTTGTGTGAACATAAGTTTTCATGTCACTTGGGTAAATATGTAGATGTGGGATTGCTGTGTTATATGATATGTCTGTGTTTAACTTTCTAAGAAACTGGTAAACTGTTTTCCAAAGTGGCTGTATCACTTTCACATTGCTACCAGCAATGTATGAGAGTTCTGTTTGCTCAGAGAGCTTATTTTTAATGATGATAATAAGAAGGAAAATTTCCTAGCCCTTACTATATGACAGGTACCATTCGAAGCATGTTACATGCATTGTCTCTTTTAATTCACACAGCAATTCTGAGGTTGTTAGTTTTTATTACTATACCCATCTAACAGATAGGAGATGAAGATCTAGTTAAAACAAGCAACAAAATAAAAATTTGCCTAAGGCCGTATACCTAAGTCTTCCTGCCGTTCATTAAGCTAGTCAATACATTTATTGAACACCTGTTCCTGTTAGCGACAGGTACTCAAGCTAGGTGCCGGGAATTCAGCAGTGAACAAAATAGACCCCATGCTTGCCTCTACAGAGCTATTTCTATGTATGAAAAGGGCATTTGTACAAATAAACATATAATTGTGATAGATCCGATAAAAGAGAAGTAAAGCACATGTTGAGAGACTATATGGTTAGAGTTCTGATTGGATTAGGGGTCAGGAAAGCCTTTTCTTTCTTTTTCTTTTTCTTTTTTTCTTTTTTTTTTTTTTTTTTGAGACAGAGTTTCTCTCTTGTTGCCCAGGCTGGAGTGCAATGGCGCGACCTCGGCTCACCGCAACCTCCGCCTCCTGGATTCAAGTGATTCGCCTGCCTCAGCCTCCTGAGTAGCTGGGATTACAGGCATACGCCACCACACCCGGCTAATTTTTGTATTTTTAGTAGAGACGGGGTTTCTCCATGTTGGCCATGCTGGTCTTGAACTCCTGACCTCAGGTGATCCGCCTGCCTTGACCTCCCTAACTGCTGGGATTACGGGTGTGAGCCATCAAGCCCGGCCAGGAAAGGCTTTTCTGAGGAAGTGATTTTTAAGCTGAAGCCAAGGGTTGGAAGTGAAGATAACACATAGATAAAAGGAACAGAATGTGCAAAAGCCATGAGTATGAAAAGAGTCGGCCAGGGTGATGGAAGTTTGAAAGCCCAAGGGAGAGTGATACACGAGGAAGCTGGAGAAATGGGCACTGCCGGACGGTGAAGGATCTGGAAGGTCTTCTTGAAGGAATGGGAAGCCTCTGACGGACTGTAAGCAGAGGAGGGGCATGACCAGGTTTACCATGCCTGCCATCAGCCCTGGTCTCTCTGTTTTTTGTTTTTTGTTTTTTTCTTTGCCTCTGAGCTTCCCATATTGTTGTGGAGAATCATGAAACCAGGGTGACCATGTTCAGCACAAATTCCTGTTGCCTTATTTCCACTGATTCTCATTGTCCTTCTCAGCATCCATTGTCCGTTCTCAATGGCACTCTCCCGTGACCCAAAACCTTTGCCTCCTCTGGAGCTCCCAACTCCATGATACCCCTTCTCCCTCTTTGCAGATAAGCTACTAATAATATAAGTTTGAGTTTAGGAGAGTTATGCAGTACAAAGAAGTAAAGGAAGTTAAAAGAGCAGAGAGATAGGTTGACACACTGGGTTTTAAAAAACTTCTTTAAGTAATAACAGACTAGATTGATTCATTTATGTCAAACAAAAGAAGGAAATACCTTTGACAGGAGGTGGAAATCTAGAAAGAGATTGTATACTTCTGACAGAAATAAAATGTGGAAGTTTATGGATATGAGAAATTTGGGTATGAAAATAAGGAGCACGTGATATTTTCACAAATGAGCTGGGCTCAAAAAAAACAACTTCCAGGCTGGGCACGGTGGCTCACGCCTGTAATCCCAGCACTCTGGGAGGCCGAGGTGGGTGGATCACCTGAGGTGGGGAGTTCGAGACCAGCCTGACCAACATGGACAAACCCTGTCTCTACTAAAAATACAAAATTAGTCTGGCATGGTGGCGCATGCTGGCGCATGCCTGTAATCCCAACTACTCAGGAGGCTGAGGCAGGAGAATCACTTGAACCCGGGAGGTGGAGGTTGCAGTGAGCCAAGATTGTGTCACTGCACTACAGCTTTGGTGACAAAGCAAGTCTCCATCTCAATAAATAAATAAAATACATACATACATACATACATACATACATACATACATACAAAAAATTAGCTGGGTGTGGTGGTGGGCACCTGTAATCCCAGCTACTCAGGAGGCTGAGACAGGACAATCTCTTGAACCTGGGAGGCAGAGGTTGCAGTGAGCCAAGATCGTGCCATTGCACTCCAGCCTGGGTGACACAGAAAGATTCTGTCTCAAAAACAAACAAAAACCAACTTCCTATTTTGCTGTAGGATAGGGTATAGTGATGACAAAGTTTCACAGAAAACATTTTTCTACCTTGAAATTTCACCGTCTGAGGCAGAAATTCAGTCTCTAATACTTTAAAAGTAAAACAAAACGAAACCTTGGAGACTGTGGCCTTTAGTAGGCGATGGGGGAGGATGGATTGGAAGGGAGTATACAGTAGGCTGTGAGAGAGATGGGGGAGGAGGGATTGGAAGGGAGTATACAGTAGGATGTGAGGGAGTTGGGGGAGGATGGATTGGGAGGGAGTATACAGTAGGCTGTGTAGGAGATGGGGAGAGGAATTGGAAGGGAGTATACAGTAGGCTGTGAGGGAGGTGGGGAGGATGGATTGGGAGGGAGTATACAGTAGGCTGTGTAGGAGATGGGGAGGATGGATTGGAAGGGAGTATACAGTAGGCTGTGAGGGAGGTGGAGAGGATGGATTGGAAGGGAGTATACAGTCGGCTGTGAGGGAGTTGGGGGAGGATGGATTGGGAGTATACAGTAGGCTGCGTAGGAGATGGGGAGGATGGATTGGGAGTATACAGTCGGCTGTGAGGGAGTTGGGGGAGGATGGATTGAAAGGGAGTATGCAGTAGGCTGTGTAGGAGATGGGGAGGATGGATTGGAAGGGAGTATACAGCAGGCTGTGTAGGAGATGGGGAGGATGGATTGGAAGGGAGTATACAGCAGGCTGTGTAGGAGATGGGGAGGATGGATTGGAAGGGAGTATACAGTCGGCTGAGGGAGTTGGGGGAGGATGGATTGGAAGGGAGTATACAGTAGGCTGTGTAGGAGTTGGGGGAGCATGGATTGGAAGGGAGTATACAGTAGGCTGTGAGGGGGTTGTGTGGCACCCCTTGAGGAAACGTCAGACTAAGATGGAAACATAACACCAAACCTCACATGAGGAGTTTCCATAACGTTTCTCACCTTGCCAAAAAATGCTTTACGTATACTGTCTAGAAATAGGAATTTTAAAACAGCCTTTGTTAATGAAATTCAGTGAGATCTCTAAATGTCATGTGTCTGTGTCAATGTAGCGTTAATAACTCTGTGGAAAGGAATCTCCAATATCCGGTTATATTTGCAACCTTGTTGTCAGAGCGCAGAGGTAACTGCCCCGTCATATACGGAGTAGACACTGTGCAAAGTGTGTTCTTCCATAAGATCAAGACGGTATCTTTCCACATAAGCTTCCCTCTCTGTAAGGACCTTCTCCAAAATAGCTGAGCCTTCTGTAAAACTGCTTGTGAAAAAAGAATTGCAGGACGTCTCAATTACCTGGTCCATGCCCACTAAATGCCAGTCAAGCAGTACCTTTCCTCAACAGTGACAGAAGCAGCAATACCTCCCACACATCTCCAAAATGCCCCCTAGGCTTCCCAAGCAATCACCTTTAGATCCTATCGTCACTCTGGGTGGCACAAGGTCCCAGGCCAACTTGTAGTGGAGGAATAGGGTATAATTTCCCCTTGAAATCAGCTCAAAATGTTCTCTTGGTGCTTCTTTATGGACTGTTTCTAGTACGTGGCTTTTCACGATGACTGGTTCTTTCACTGTCCTTGATTCCTGAATTTCCTGAATCTCCTGGAGCCTGGCATTTGTTCTTGATTGACATTCGGATGGTTCTGAACCCTCCCTGTATCCTGGACACCAGTTTTGTTTAGGTTGGTACTCTGGTTCTCTGCATGCCCATTCTTGCTAAGCCGGTCATGATTTCCAGCTAGTTTCAGCAGCTCCCCTGTTCCCACGGCCATTTTCACATGATATCTCCCAAAGGCTTTTAAAATGAAAACCTTTTACACTGGCTACGTTGGGTTCATATTAAAGCAATCCTTTCCCTTACTCAAGGAAGTAATAATTATATAGGCCAAATTAATAAACCCTCTTGTGCAAGTTTTATATATGCCAACAACTATAAAAACACTTTTTACAAAACTGACATTAACTAGTACAATCATTATAATGTAGCTAACATTAATTCATCGTATCTAAAACCCTTAAGCATCTTCCATAACCTGTTTTTTCGACTCCACTTCTTCCTGCATTCCCAGAGCTGGATCTTCAGCTGCCACGCTTCTTCCTCGTGTACAACAGTAGTTCTTAATCTGTTTTGAGTCTGGACCCCTTGGAGGAGCTGAAGAACTCTACACAGATCCTTTCCCTGGAAAAATACACATTTGCTTAGCATTTTGCATGCAGTTTTAATGAAGGGTGTTTCATAGAATATACATACATATATATAT